>NC_000009.12:36373636-36525151 GCF_000001405.40 Homo sapiens
CCAGGCTGGAGTGCAGTGGCGCGATCTCAGGTTTTGCCATTTTGCCCAGGCTGGTCTCGAACTCTTGACTTCAGGTGATCCGCCTGCCTCGGCCTCCCAAAGCGCTGGGATTACACGTTGTCAGCCACCGCACCCGGCCTTGCTAGCCTTTTTTTGTTTTTTGTTTTAAGATGGAGTTTCGCTTTTGTTGCCTAGGCTGGAGTGCAATGCACACCCGGCTAATTTTGTATTTTTGGTAGAGACAGGGTTTCACCATGTTGGTCAGGCTGGTCTCGAACTCCTGATCTCAGGTGATCCATCCACCTCGGCCTCCCAAAGTGCTGGGATTACAGGTGCGAGCCACTGCGCCCGGCCTGCCTTTTAACTGTACATTTGTTTTATTCATCATAAAATAGGAAGACTACAGCAGGTACTCAGGCCTTAACTTTGCAATAACTATACTTTCTCATGCTTATTATATTTAATAGCTATAAAATACTTTATCTGCTAGCCATATACTATCTTACCTAAAAACATTCCCATGTAATTGGTTAATAAGGTACTGGGTAATGTAAAAGTCTTAATGTCTCAACAGAATAGAGCTCAGAGACAGGTTTATGTTCTTTCAGCTGGAACACAGAATGCTGGTTTTAAGATCCCTTCTGCATTAGCCCGCTCAGGCTGCCATAACAAAACATTGCAGACTGGGTGGCTTAAACAGATACTTAATTTCTCAAAGTTTTAAAGCCTAGAAGTTTGAAATCAAGGTACCAACATAGTCGGTTTTTGGAGAGGGATCTTTTCCCTGGCTCTTGCAGACAACTACATCTCACTGTCTCCTCATATGGTGGAGGATGAGTTCCCCGACATCTCTTTTTGAGACAGAGTCTTGCTCTGTCTCCAGGCTGGAGTGCAGTGGTGCGGTCTTGGCTCACTGCAACCTCCGCCTCCTGGGTTCAAGCAATTCCCCTGCCTCAGATTCGCCCGTCTCAGCCTCCCGAGTAGCTGGGACTACAGGTGCGCACCACCACAGCTGGCTAATTTTTTGCATCTTAGTAGAGACGAGGCTTCACCATGTTGGCCAGGATGGTCTCCTGACCTCGTGATCCGCCAACCTTGGCCTCCCAAAGTACTGGGATAACAGGCGTGAGCCACCCCGGCGCATTGCTTCTTAAAGGACATTAATCCTGCTGGGTAAGGGTCCTAACCTTATGACCTCATTTAACGTTAATTACACTTCCTTAGAGGTCACATCTCCAAATACAACCACACTGAGGGTTACAGGAAGGTTACAGCTTCAACACATTAATTGGGGAGGAGGGGTTACAAACATTTGGTCTGCAACACCTTCCTAACTCAAGATCATTGATATTCCTTCAACATCCTGGATATGCACCTCACAATGCACTCACTATTTCCCTGGGATATGAAATACATGACCTCTGGCAACAAATAATGAGGAAGAAACTCAGGAAGAAATGCACTCCTCTAGGATGAAAAGACAAGGGCCAAATCCCATTGCCTAAAAGTTGAACTAAACTTGTCATCTTTTCATACCACGGGCTCCACAGTTGTTTTTTGTTTTGTTTTTTAAATACAGTGTCTCATTCTGTCACCAACGCTAGAGTGCAGTGGAACAATCATAGCTAAGGTTCATTGCAGCCTTACACTCTTGGGCTCAAGCAATCCTCCTGTCTCAGTTTCATCTTGGACTACAGATGTGCGCCAACATCCTCAGCTAATTTTTTGTTTTTTTGAGAGAGACAGGGTCTTGCTATGTTGCCCAGGCTGGTCTCGAACTCCTGGCCTCAAGTGATCCTCCCACTTTGGCTTCCCAAAATGTTGCGATTATAGGCATGAGCTACTACTGTGCCAAGTCTCCATGGGTTTATAAGAAACATAATTAAGCTCCTAATTGCCTTTGAGGATACAGAAGGAAAAGGAATGGAGTAGAAAAGGAGTAGCTCATTTCTAAGACTTCCATATATCCTTACAGTTATGAACTACAAAATGCATCTTCTAATAGTCAAGATCGCAGGCTAGTCCACAACAATCTGTACCTTAAGTAGCTAATTTCATATATAATGGCATCGACTGATTTTAGCCTCTTTCCATTTCTTCATCTGTCAATGATAAGCTAAATAAACTCTTCTAACCTACTGGAAATCTAGGCAACTTTCTTTTTCGTGAGTGAATGTACGTGTATATGTGGTGATGTGTTTATGAAATGCCTACAGAAAAAATGTTTTCTGATGTTAAATATACTCACAAATCTACCAATGGAAGAAAACTTAAGAAATAAATTGTAATCAACTAACCTTCTTCTGTTGCGTGCAGGTGTGTTGCATCGTTCCCCTGAGAAGTGATGTTGGCTTGGTCGAACTGAAGGGGGCTGCCTATTTGATGTCATCTCCCATGGTCGCATTGGTGGTGAGGGAGCTGGTGATGCTGATGTATAATCAAAGACTGAATGAGAGAGGCGCTGTCTCTTAGGACTTGGACTATCTTCACTCTGCCAATGCAACAAAATGGATCAACTGAGTAAGATCTTTTAAAGATTTCACATTACTGCATATGCACAGGTGTTAGGATGTACTTAACCTAAAATCTAAAAATGTAAAGCGGGGAAAAAAATATATGCTATCAATTCAAATTTAAAACCTTTAAAAAATGCTGGGATGGGGTAGAACAGGGGAGGGAGATGCACAGTAAATGATACGAAGTGAAAAATAAGCTTTGTTTTTAAAAACTCATTCTAAGGCAAATGAGGTAACGACATATAGGGTATAAAACAGCATAATAAAACTTTCGTGTAGTACTCGACCTTCTCTTTAAATTCCCAAACCACCTGAAAAATTACACTACACTACAATCTCCCATCAATAAGACATCAATTCTCAGCTGTGAGTTCAGCTTAGTAGGAGATATAATTTGAGTAGGCCCTCAATTTGATTCTAAATCACACTCCTCTCCCTCCTTCTATCTGTTTAGGCCACTATATTTATTTTTTTTAAAGAGAGTTACATGGGGCCGGGCACAGTGGCTCACACCTGTAATCCCAGCACTTTGGGAGGCAGAGGCGGGTGGATCACTGGAGGTCAGGAGTTCGAGACCGGCCTGGCCAACATGGTGAAATCCCGTCTCTACTAAAAACACAAAAATTAGCTGGGCGTGGTGGCACATGCCTGTAATCCCAGCTACTTGGGAGGTTGAGGCAGGAGAATCGCTTGAACCCAAGAGGCGGAGGTTGTTGTGAGCTGAGATCACGCCATGGCACCCCAGCCTCGGCGACAAGAGTGAGACTCTGTCTCAAAAAAAAAAAAAAAAAAAAAGTTACATGGATAAAATAAGATTTATGTTAGACAGATAAAGAAATAGCAGATTTACATGATCAGTTCTTAACTAGAATATCACAGCAGTTTGGAAGTACTTTTAAAGTTTTCAAGGGTCCCACATGGACTTACTAGCTACAAAACTGATATGGATCACTTAATTGCATTAATAACACTCCAGGGTTCTCCACCTGACTCAATTTCCCAAATCAGTCTACCCAAAAATATCAAAGTTACAAATTGACTGAAAATTTGATAAGGCTGTGTGTTTTCTAATAGAACGTCTATCTCCAATCTATTACTGCAAGTTCTAATTAGTTGGGCATTACAGTACTTTTGGTTGCAAAATAATTAGTACCTGCAGCTACCATAAAAATCATCTTATACCACTGCAAAAATATACAGGATTATAAATTAGTGTTAGATTTTAAATAAGCATATAAATCAGAACTGATTATTTAAGCTGAAAGGAATGAAGCAAATTGGTAAATGGCTACATTTGATCTTTCCAAATTACTTAGCAGTATTCCAAAAACCATGTCATTTCCCTTCTATATTTAGGAGATATTATAATCAATTTTATTATCATTATAATTAAAATACAAAACACAAAAGCATTTTGTTCTAACTTTCCTACCACCATACTAACCTTATTTTCTCCCTAGATTTAACTGTACAGTCGTCCCTCAGTATTCTAGGGAGTTGGTTCCAGAGACCACTCCCCCATACCAAAATCTTAAGACGCTCAGGTTCCTGATATAAAATGGTGTCGTATTTGCATATAACGTACACACATCCTCCCATATACTTTAAATCTCTAGATTACTTAATAATATCAACACAATACAATATAAATGTTTTATAAATAGCTGTTATACTGTATTTTAAAATTTGTATTATTCTGTATTGTTGTATTGTTACTTTTATTTCATTTTTTCTGACTATTTCCCATCCGTGGTTGGTTCAATCTTTGGGTAAGGAACCACCAACTAATCTAGTAAAAGTACAGTTATTTTCATCCTTTAATTTTAGTGAGAAAGTTAGTTATGTTCTGATAATCCTAAAACTTAAAAAAAAAGGTAAATAACCACTGAAATTTAAATATTCTGATTTTTTTTAAAAGGTAGAACAATCAAGACCTGACAAACTTGCACATGAACTACATGAGCACCAGAAACAGGCTGGCTGCACAACTGGTGAAACAGATTTGATTAACACTGACTTTTTTTTTTTTTTTTTTTTTTTGTGAGACGGAGTCTTGCTCTGTTGCCCAGGCTGGAGTTCAGTGACGCCATCTTGGCTCACCGCAACCTCCGCCTCCTGGGTTCAAGTGGTTCTCCTCCCTCAGCCACCCGAGTAGGTGGGACCACAGGCATATGCCACCATGCCCAGCTAATTTTTTGTATTTTTAGTAGAGACGGGGTTTCACCTTGTTAGCTAGGATGGTCTTGATCTCCTGACCTCATGATCTGCCCATCTCGGCCTCCCAAACTGCTGGGTTTACAGGTGTGAGTTACCATGCCCAGCTTAACACTGACTTTTTAAAAACAAAATGCTAGTAACGAATCATGATCATTAGCTTTTCATACATACCCCACATTGTATATCCTACTCTGAATAAGCCTAATGTAAGCTAAGACACAGAACTTTGAATTCTAAAAATTCACTACCTAAAATGGAGGCGAATGCTACAGATACTCACGATAAAGGTCAAATGACCAGAGAAAGCCCTTAGTTTATAAACCTTTATATATTTTCAGTGATGTTCAAATTGTGGGCTAAAAATGTTCTTACTTTACAAGACATGCAAAGCTTTTAAAAGTAGAGGTAAGGAAAGTGGCTGCGAAAAGTAAAGTTACCATCACTTCTCTTTGTGCTATGATGGTGACAAAGAAGAGACAAAGAATGGGAAGTGAAGGGAGCTATTCATTAGAGTACTTACTACTTTTCTTTTTCCTTTTTTTTTTTTTGAGACGGAGTTTCACTCTTGTTGCCCAGGCTGGAGTGCAGTGGCCTCATCTCGGCTCACCGCAACCTCTGCCTCCTGGGTTCAAGTGATTCTCCTGCCTCAGTCTCCCGAGTAGCTGGGATTACAGGCATGCACCACCATGCCTGGCTAATTTCATATTTTTAGTAGAGATGGGGTTTCTCTGTGTTGGTCAGGATGGTCTCGAACTCTCGACCTCAGGTGATCCGACCGCCTTGGCCTCCCAAAGTGTTGGGATTACAGGCGTGAGCCACTGCGCTGGGCCAATAAGTTTACTTTCTAACTCAAAGTCACAGGAAACTACAATGACTAAATACAGGCAAACATTAAAAAGTAGTTTGCTACATGCAATATGATTTCATCACTTCCCTTATCAATTTTAGTACTCTAAGGAACTTCAAAGAAATTCTCACAGTTTCCAGAAAAGGGAAGGGGTAGTAACCTACAAAGAAATAAGAATTATATTAACATCAGACTTCCTATAGCAGAAACAGATGCTAAAAGTTCTCTGAGGGAAATGAATATTGAACCCAAATTTTGTACTCCAATCACACTATTAATCTAGTGTGGAAGCATAAAAAAAATGACCTTTGTCAGATATATCAAGACCCAAAGGTGCTCCTTACATAGCAGAAAATCACTTGATGTGTGCTCACAACCTTCCCTATCTCTCTGATTTGAAGCTATTACACAATATCCAATAAATGACAGAAGTAACCCAGAGAGTACAATGAAATGAAATTCCAGGAATGGTAGTATAGGAAGTGTGGAAATTCATCATTCCACATTAGAACAAGAAGTCAGAGGGCTCCGAGAAAAATGCCCTAAATAGAATCAAAATATATGACTGAGAACTTGGAAGTTATTAATAAAATTTAAGCAGACAGCTCTGTCATTATATAAAAGACAATCAGTCCAGGAAAGTCAATGAGGAATGCAAATTCATCTGACCTTGTCATCTAAAGCATTCTTTGAGTGGAATGGGTAGTCAGAAGATTACATTCACTTTTCCATGGGCCACACATGCTCTTGGTTCTGCAATGACTAAATATATGGATGTTCCTAACATGATGCAAAGTGTTTACTAGTTTCTGATAGTTAAAATCAACCTAGGACAAGGCATGAAAGATCACTACTGTAGTTACAGAACAGAATGGAAGTATAAACTCTATTAATGTAAACTCTAAATGTTTATGATAAAATCACGGACATTTAGTGAAAATCAAAATACAAAAATCTAAAAATAATGGCTTAAATATAACATACTTTTTTGCTTGTTTTTTGAGATGGAGCTTTGCTTTTGTTGCCCAGGTAGAGTGCAATGGCAGGATCTCGGCTCACTGCAACCTCCGCCTCCTGGGTTCAAGCGATTCTCCTGCTTCAGCCTCCCGAGTAGCTGGGATTACAGGCATGCGCCACCACACCCTGCTAATTTTGTATTTTTAAGTAGAGATGGGGTTTCTCCACGTTGGTCAGGCTGGTCTCGAACTCCTGACCTCAGGTGATCTGCCCGCCTTGGCCTCCCAAAGTGCTGGGATTACAGGCGTGAGCCACTGCGCCCGGCCTGTTTTTTTTTTAAAGACAGTCTCACTCTGTCATTGAGGCTGGAGTGCAGTGGCACGATCTCAGCTCACTGCAACCTCCACATCCCGGGCTAAAGAGATGCTCTCACCTAAGTCTCCCAAGTAGCTGGGACTACAGGTGCACACCACCATGACCAGCTAATTAAAAAAAAATTTTGGAGATACAAGGTCTCACTATATTGCCCAGTTTGGTCTCAAACTCCTGGGCTCAAGCAATCCTTCCACCTCGGCCTCCCACAGTGCTGGGATTACAGGTGTTGAGTCATTACGCCTGGCTAACAAACATGCTTTTAAAATGCAGTGCTAAATGCAGGGGAAAAAAGGGAAATCATCAAGGACTCAGAAACTGAGGAAAACTGAAGACCAAATTTGTATTTTTGATGCTCTCAAGAGGAATAGAAGATAAGGCCTTATGACTGAGACCCCTACATGAAGTAGTCAAAATTTCCAAAGTAGTACACTTAAAAAGGAAGACAAGAAAAAGTCATTCCAGTGGAAAAGAGAAGGAAACGTCAATAAGGAAATGTCTGCTCTGTGTTGACTTCGAGTGGAAGTGGGTTTCTCCCGTGAGAATTCAAACTTAGGTTCACTCCTCACACCCTATTTGGGGTTCAGATTTTCACGATCCATGCTGTCTGTGAACCTCTAAACATAAAAACATAAAAACTCATCCAGAACTACGCTACTACAAGGTCTCTTTACATGAGTAAATACAAAACTGAATCTGGAAGGATATTCCCACTGCTTTTGTAAACTAAAAATAAAATCCCCCCCAAATGACTGAACTGACTCTCTCTTGACTACAGAGACCCCAGAGAAACTAGAAAAATTGAGTTCTTGGCCTGGACAGGAAGGAAGACTAGATACACCTCATTTTATCTCTCCATCCCCTGCTTCTGGAGTTTAGGCAAAACTGACCAGCATTAATGTTAAAATAGAAATTATAGGACCTAACAGAATGGACTTTTTGTGACAATAAGATACCAAATTATAAACAGGACCTAAGGCCAAGCCAGACAAGGGTTAACTCACACACCCCTACAGGTCACTCTAACCCAGTGTATTGGTTAACAGACTTTCTTATAAGATTCCCTTCTGCTGAATCCAAATTTTTAGACAAAGCTTTACTCTATAAACCAACTGCAAATTACAGAATCTCATCTCTGAATCCACCTAAAATCTTTAAGTCCTCACTTCAAGATATTCTGTGTCTTTTCGGTTTGAAACAATGTATACTTTCCATGTATTGATTTATGACTTTGTAACTCCTGCCTCCCTAAAACTGTAATTCGACTGTAGTGGGTACATTTCCTTGGGACCTCCTGAGACTGTTTCCCAGACCATGGTCACTCATATTGTCTCAGAATAAACCTCTTTAAAATGTTTTCACAGAGTTGGGTCTTTCCATTAATACCTATGCCAGTAGTTCTCAAACCTTCATGCTTCAGAAACACCAGATTGCTTGCTGGCCTCACTCCCCCGTCTCTAATTCAGAAAGTCTGGACCAGAGGTCCATGAACTGTCATCTCTACTATTATCCCAGGTGATGATGCTTGGATAATTTAGATTTTGAATTATCAGGCAGAGAAGTTCTTTCCCTCCTCTCCTTGTTGATTCTAGGCCAGTGGACCAACTTTTCAAAGTACCAAGTGTTGACAATTTAAAATTCATAAGATGTTGATTCAAATCTGGTACAAGTACTGTCTCTATTATTTAATAATATAGAACGTTGTACAGACATTACAGTATAGAACACTGCTACAGATTTAGGGATCAAGGGAGGTCAAAGAGGTCATAATGGGAGGAAGGAAGGAAAGGCAGGTTTTATGCTTAGCATTAAATCTGATAAAAATGAGTCTAGGAGTACACCTCTATTAACACCAAACCATTTTTATTACCAAAACATCAACAGAAGTGAAATGAACCTGAGGCAGGCATAAGAATGCATTCCATAATTCCAGATGAACAAGTCAGAAGTCATTAAAGGCTAAAGAAAAACAATTTTATATGTAATATATATCTTGGGTTTATATATATATCAGCAAGTCTTAGAGATAATAGGAGATGCTGAGCCAGACAAACTTTTCCCAAAACAGAAACAGGTTTCAAGTTCTACTCAGTGACTACAACATGCCTCTAATGGCAACCACTAGTGAGCCCTAAGGACTTCCTTCCCAAAGCAGCAAAGAGGCAACTTGTGTGGGGAAATGGAATTTCTCAAGAACCTGGTCCTCTTTCTAATCAGTCAGGACTACTCTTCACCTTAGATTTACAAATAAGCACAGCATGAGTTAAGAATCTTCAATTCTCCTTTAAACTCCCAGACTTTCTCTACTTGCCTTAATTACCTTTAACAAAAATGAAGTTTCTTATTCCACAATTAAGGAAAAACAGTTAAATGCAAAGGGCCCAGGAAGAGCAAACTCTCACTAAATTTTATTCATTTTAAATAAATGTGAAAACACTTAGAAATCAACACTCTATATAAGCAACTTGTTACTAAAAAATAAGACAAGATCCTTTTTTGTTTTGCAGAAGATGGATATAAGCTGGGGAAAGCAGAAAATTAAGAATTTTATATTTGGATCACACAATAGTTTACAAAATGACTTCTAACATTACCTCATTTTATTCTCCACAAGCTGAGGTTTTCATTTTTAAACTATGTCCAGATAATACGTAAAATGTGGTTTTTTGGTTGCTGAGACAGAGTCTCGCTCTGCTGCCAGGCTGGAGTGCAGTGGCGCGATCTCAGCTCACTGCAACCTCCGCCTCCTGGGTTTAGGCGATTCTCCTGCCTCAGTCTACCAAGTAGCTGGGACTACAGGCGCGCACCAGCCAATTTTTGTATTTTTAGTAGAGATGTATTTCACCATGTTGGCCAAGACAGTCTTTATTTCTTGACCTCATGATCCGCCCACTTCAGCCTCCCAAAGTGCTGGGATTATAAGCATGAGCCACCACGGCCGGCCTAAATGTGTTTCTATTAGTGAAACTGAAACTTTTTAAGGCAGTTCAGTGAACATGCTGCCCTTGAACTACATAATGTACACAGTCTCATTTCACATAGGACTTTCATTTGATGTATAATTCTTATACTCCTCAGATCACAATTTTGCAATGAAATTCTGTCTCTCAACCAGACAACTAATATATTCTCCTGAAATGTTATTTTACTTGCAGATATAGAAGAGGCTCTGAATGTTGTTTTCAAAAGTTACCATGTTGTTTTCAAAAGTTACCATAAACATGCAGAAACAAAAAAATTTTGCTCTTTGATACGTGCCAAGTTTTTTTTTTTTTAAACCGAAGCCCAAAGAAAATAACAGTTTGATATGCAGTGGCTGCTCAGAAAGGCACTCTAGTAGTATAACGTATTGCAATCACACCATGATGAATAGTAAAATACGGTATTTTCCTATCATTGGCTATAACTGCTAGTCCACCAAAACACAGGAACTATAAATAAAGTGGTTTCCTAAGTCTAAGGAGGCCTGCATGGCTAGTATTTGAGTAACAGACTAGTGATGTTATATACTATATTTTTCACAGTTCCTAATTACACAAAACATCACTGGTTCACAAAAACTAATTTAGCTTGATGCTACAATTGTAAGTATCACTATATTTCTACCAGAATACTAGATTCTACTCATGTATCTGTAACTATAATAATTTTAAGCTATAATTATAGATAAGAGACTAAAACAAAAAATCTAAAGTATAAACATGAAACCAGTGAAAATAGGAAAGATACTAAAACAACCTGAAATCAAGAGATCCTTTGAGAGATACCCCGCCTGGAGGTGTTCTGTAAACAGCTGAAGCTCAGAGGGTAGGAATATAAATTTAGGAGTGTTGATATACAGATCATCATTCATGAAGCTGCAGACATAGACAAAATTGCCCCTCAAAAGTTTATGTAATGAAAACAAGGCCCAATACGGAAACCTAAGAAACACCAACATTTAATGCTGGGTACTTGATTAGCAGGAGGGTGGAGTGTGATGGAAGCCAGGCGAAGGAGGTTTCAAGGATGCAGGATGAAGGGCTGAAAAATATCCACCAGATGTATTAGGTGAGTGCAAAAATAACTGCAGTTTATGCAGTGTTGGAATTTGCCGTTTGGTATTGGAATACGTTCTTAAATAAATGTGGTTATGTTATATATCATTTTAATGGGAATTTCTCACTTTATGTTCTTTGTTAATGACTTATTACTTGCTATTTATGTTTATTTTAGGCTAAGGAAATGATGTTAGACAAAAAGCAAATTCAAGCAATTTTCTTATTTTAGTTCAAGGTGGGTCATAAAGCAGCAGAGACAACTTGCAACATCAACAATGCATTTGGCCCAGGAACTGCTAACGAATATACAGTGCAGTGGTGGTTCAAGAAGTTCTGCAAGGGAGGCGAGAGCCTTGAAGATGAGGAGCATGGCTGGCCATCAGAAGTTGACAATGACCAATTGAGAGCAATCATCGAGCTGATCCTCTTACAACTACATGCGAAGTTGCCGAAGAACTCAACATGAATTGTTCTATGCTATGGTAGGTTGGCATTTGAAGCAAATTGGAAAAGTGAAAAAGCTCGGTTAAGTGGGTGCCTCATGAGCTAACCGAAAATTTAAAAAAAAAAAATCGTTTTGAAGTATCATCTTCTCTTATTCTACACAAGAACAAGGAACCATTTCTTGATCAGATTTTGTTATGAGAGGAAAAGTGGATTTTATACAACAACCGATAACCAGCTCAGTGGGTGGACCAAGAAGTAGCTCCAAAGCACTTCCCAAAGCCAAACTTGCACCAAAAAGAGGTCACAGTCACTGTTTGGTGGTCTGCTGCTGGTCTGATCCACTACAGCTTTTTTTTTTTTTTTTGGAGACAGTTTCGCTCTTGTCATCCAGGCTGGAGTGCAATGGCGCGATCTCGGCTCACAGTAACCTCCGCCTCCCGGATTCAAGTGATTCTCCTGCCTCAGCCTCCCGAGTAGCAGGGATTACAGGCATGTGCCACCACATCCGGATAATTTTTGTATTTTTAGTAGAGATGGGGTTTCACCATGTTGGCCAGGCTAGTCTTGAACTCCTGACCTCAGGTGATCCACCCGCCTCAGCCTCCCAAAGTGCTGGGATTACAGGCATGAGCCACCGTGCCCAGCCACTACAGCTTTCTGAATCCCTGCAAAACCATTACATCTGAGAAGTATGCTCAGCAAATTGATGAGGTGCACCGAAAACTACAATGCCTGCAGCCAGCACTGGTCAACAGAAAGGGCCCAGTTCTTCTCGTTGAATTCTTGGCACGTCGCACAACCAACGCTTCAAAAATTGAACAAATTGGGTTACAAAGTTTTGCCTCATCTGCCATATTTACCTGACCTCTCGCTGACCGACTACCACTTCTTCAAGCATCTCGACAACCAACTTTTTTGCTGGGAAAAGCCTTCTACAACCAGCAGGATGCAGAAAATACTTTCCAAGAGTACGTCCAATCCCGAAGCAGTGATTTTTATGCTACCAGAATAAACAAACTTATTTATCGTTGGTAAAAATGTGTTGATTGTAATGGTTCCCATTTTGAGTAATAAAGATGTGTTTGGGCCTAACTACGATGATTTAAAATTCACGGTCTGAAACCAGAATTACTTTTGCACCAACCTAATACCAACACAGAGGTCTCTGACAGAGCTATTTCTTTCTAATAGGATTTGCTATCTCTTATGGCATATTTCTCCCCTTATGACAATTTTTGGAAAAGTTTTTCCCCCTTTTCTTCAATAATCTTCCATATGAATTTAAAAACAATTCTGAAAGCTCTAAAAACAAAATTCTGCTGATATTTTGGCTAGAAATTTCATTAAGTCTACAAATTTGCTAGAATATAGATATTTTCACAATAATTTTCTCTTTCAGAAACCTGGCATATTTCTCTATGTGTATAGCTTTTCAAATTTTCATTCACCTAATTTAACTTTAGTAAATTTGTTAGAGGCGTTTGAACCAGAGTGCCTCCATACTAAACAGTGGCTTGGTAAAATAAGACTGAGACCTGCTGGGCTGCATTCCCATCACGTTAGGCATTCTGAGTCACAGGATGAGATAGGAGGTCAGCACAAGATACAAGACCTTCCTGATATTAACAGGTTGCAGTAAAGAAGCCGGCTAAAACCCACTAAAACCAAGATGGTGATGACAATGACCTCTGGTCATCCTCACTGCTACACTCCCACCAGCACCATGACAGTTTACAAATGTCATGGCAATGTCAGGAAGTTACCCAATATGGTCTATTTTTATTTTTTGAGAGGTAGTCTTGCTCTGTTGCCCAGGCTGGAGTGCAGTGGCACAATCTCAGCTCACTGCAACCTCTGCCTCCCGGATTCAAGCGATTCTTGTGTCTCAGCCTCTTGAGTAGCTGGGACCACAGGTGCGCACCACCACGCCTGGTTAATTTTTGTATTTTTAGTAGAGACGGGGTTTCCCCATGTTGGCCAGGCTGATCTCGAACTCCTGACCTCAAGTGATCCACCTGCTTCGGCCTCCCAAATTGCTGGGATTACAGGTGCGAGCCACCGTGTGGGAGCCCCTACCTTGTCTATAAATGAGGCATGAATAATCCACCCCGTGTTTAACACATAATCAAGAAATAACCATAAAAATGGGCAACCAGCAGGCCTTAGGGCTGCTCTCCTTTACTTTCTTAATAAACTTGCTTTCACTTTATGGATTCACCTCAAATTCTTTCTAGCACAAGATCTAAGAACCCTCTCCTGGGGTCTGGATCAGGACCCCTTTCTGTTAACAAATTTACAAAATAAAAGCTATAACATAGCAGTCATTAAGATACCACAAACACCCCTAAAATTAATGGTTGTGCCAGATATAAAATTATTTCACCATGTACTTAATTACCTTTTGAAAACTTACTATCTTCAATCACAACCATTGAATCCACTGATAGTAAAGACATGCCTAATTTTAAAACTTTAAGACAGGGGTTGACAGCAAAGAAACATCAGGGAATTTTGGGGGGTGTTTTATTATTCATTGTGGTGGTGACTCCACATCTGTATGCATTTGTCAAACTCACAAACCTATATGCTAAAAAAGTAAATTTTATGTTAAGTATACCTTAATTTAAAAATGTTTAAAATATTGTATGAAGCACTTTAAGATTCTAATTTTAAATATGGGTTTTTATAGAGATGCAAATGAGCCTACACTTACACCTCTTCTGTGGGCAATGAGTACACAAAGCCATCATTTTCACAGAAACATTAAAATACCAACCAAATGTGCACCGGGAAGCACATACAAAATATTACTGGAAGCACTGCCTGTAATAGCATTAAAAAACAAAAACAAAACAAAACAAAAAAAACAGGAAACTACCCAAATGTCAAGCAAAAAGAAAGGAGACAAGCTGCAGTATAGTCATATAATAGAAAACTAAAAACAATAAAATAAATCAAGTATATACAGGCAGATACACTAGTAGGGATGAATTTTTTAAAAAGTATACAAAGTGTGACATCATTTATACTAACTTCAGAAACAAGCAAAATTAAACAGTATAATATCAAGGGATATTTTATATGGTAAAACCATACAGAAAAACAAAAGGATACTGAAGAGAGATGTACGTGAGGCACAAGTATGGGATATAACATGGAGGGTCATATGGGGGCTTCAAAAGTGTTGGTAATGGCTGGTTTCTTATACTAGATGGTCTTATTATTATATAGATGTCTGCTTTACATTTTCTAAATTGCATATATGAAATATTTCACAAATATTATTTCACAAAGCATGTAAAATTTAAACGAAAACCCTGAATTTTGGGCAATTAAAAAGAAGTCTTGACTAGGAGCAATACAAAACAAGCAAATATGAGAAGCAAAATGTAGAAGTTTGTAATAAACAAGGACAATGACAGAACTGATAAATAATAGATATGACTGACAAAAAAAAAGCTCAAAAACAGGATAACTTTTTTTGTTCAAAAAGACTGGTGGTAGAAACAACAGTAAGAATCCAGGAAGTGTAGCAACACATTTTTTCTCCCATATGGCCACTTGACTAGCCACACACCCAACTCCTCATGCTTGGTGTGGGGGGTGGTGGAAATCAATCAATTAACTTCTTTACTCCTAGAGAAGGTTGATGTCCTCAGAAAAGACAGGAGTTTAAAGGAAGCAGAGAGGGTGCCTTAGAAAAAAATGAAAACACAGGCAAATCTGTTTAAAACAGATTATTCTAAAAAGAAGGAAAAGTAGAAAGAATTGGGAGAGAAGGTACTTGAGGAGAAAGCCAATAAGAAAGCATAACACATTAAGGGAATAATTTTGTGACACTAGATGGCTGGGTAGGTTTTTCTTTGCATGTGGTAACTAAGTTTTTAAGGATAAGAAGCATAACTGGAACTAACAAATTACACCCTTTTTTAAAAGATATCAACTAGCTGAAGGTATCAGTATCTCAAAGGGGTTGTGAGAAAGATCTACTTTGCTTCATGTCGAACAGTGGTAGGGCAGTTTCTGGGCAAAAAAAACCTTCTAGATCCCCCTCCACCCCCGCCCCAAAGTTCATTGAGGGCTTTGTTCTAAGGTTCAAGGAAAATAAGGCTTAAGTTAAATTAAAACTATTTAAATAAAAATTTAACAACAATACATTGCATCTTTCTGCAACACTCAAATGCAATTGGCTCTTTGTTTTGTTTTCAAAACATGAATTTAAATCTACTGCATTTGGCAGCTACTCTCTGAAATTAAAGTTTATATTGAGTTACTGTTTGAAAACACAAAGGGAGTATGGAGAAAAGTATCCAAAAAAAAAAAAAAAACCCTTTTTATTGGTGGCAGTATTAAGGGTATTAAGTCCATTTCTTCCACAAATACATAGTAGACAAGATACAGCTAAAGTTAGATTGGAGCCCCTTCTCTGCCAAATAACTACATATGTGATTAGACACCTCACTGAGCTTTTCTTAGCCTGTTTCCACATCTTAAAAACTATCAATGACTAGTTTATTGTGAGGGCTAAAAACAAAAAGAGTTAATACATGCAAAGCAGAGAACCTGGCACAAATTCCAAGAAGGAATACCAGACTGAAGAGCCCTAGATCACCTATCCCTCCAAATTTTTTATCTCCAACTTTATGTGTCACAAGCATTTCACTTTCATACAAACAGAAAATGAGCTGGCTCTTATTCAAAAGTCCCAGCCTTGATGATCAATTATTTCACTACCTCAGGTTTATACACATTGGCCTGCAATCCTACCACTCAGAGGCAATTGTGTAACCTAACTTTTGTGGTAACAGCGATACTGACTTCCACTACTAAAACATGCTTCTCTAGGAATATGGATTGAAAGTTTGGTAGCCAATGATTTCTATGGGCAGATTCCAGTAATCTTGTTAATAACCTAATGAGTTTCAATCCATTTACACACCTTACTTTCGAGTTTTCATTTTATATTTAAAAAAAAATTTTTAACTCACGTTTACCCACAGGTAAAAGAAGACAAGTAACCATGTTTTCTCTCAGAAATGTATGTTACTATCGAACTCTGGGTGCCAAGCAAGTAACTAGTGAACATCTTACATGCTTTCATTTTTCCTTTCCTACACAACTTCATATATTCTACACTATCTTCTACTTTCCTACAGAACTTGACCTATTAGGACAAGTGATTTAAGACCAAAAGATCAAAACACAAGAATATTAAGTAGTCAAATAATTAACAGTAGCTGAGTAGCTCAAGAAGACAAACATTAGTCAGAAAAGCTGGCTGAAAAAATATTAAAGTCCTCTAAGAAGAATACTTATTTCCACATACAACAGAAAACAAGGAGACGATATTGGGCATTTTGTTTCAAGCCTTCCTAGAAACACTGTAGAATGTGACTTTCAGCCCTATGTAGGGAAAGGGTAAATATATAAGAACCTGGAAGAAAGCTTTGAAGTGAGCATCCTCTTGAACGGTAGTGTTCTGATCACTTGGGAGGAGAGGGAACAGGCTCTGAAGTCTCACCCTTTCACAAATCACCTTGTTAGGATGGCCAGGTAGAGATGCTGAATTGGCCCCGGGAGATATCTGGGAAAAAGAGGAAGAAAAGGATAGTTCATGGCTAGCTGCACCAATGTGGAGAATCACGCCTATGAAGGATAGTCTGGATTTTCTAGGTATTTGATGATTCTGCTAGCGAAGACAGGAAAGAAATTAAAAATTAATTTTAAACATCAAAACATAAAGATGGCAAAGGTTGCCTCTGGCAATGGATCTCTCTTACAAAAACTGTTGGAGGCAAAACAGCACAGCCCAAGAACACCACGTCCTTCCTGTTTCCCAAATACCTATTGGTAACTTTTTCTGCTGGTGTTAATTCCGAAATCCTAAAGGACAGACTTCATGCTAAGAAAACCCAAGGTAAAATTACATATCTTAAGTACAGAAAGGTTAAGTGTTTGCCTGGACCAAGATTAATACTTTTTCTCATTCTGTTTTTTAGTTAACCTTCCAAATAATCATGCAAAGGAAAATGACAGATTTAACAATATTTGTGGCAAATTTTCTATAGCAAACATATGTTTGACTGCAGAAATCTCAGCTCTATTCAACACAAACCTAAAGACCTTCCTAAGGAATAAAGGACACAATCATAAGCACAAAAGTAAATGACTGCCACATTTCCAATGCTTGATTTGGCCAATGCAGTGGTCACACCTGTAATCCCAGCACTTTGGTATGCCAAGGTGGGAGGATCGCCCCAGTTATCTACAAAAATTAAAAAACAAAAATAAATGTTTGACTTGATTATGGGTTAATCCTCTTAAATTCATATGTAAATATACTTACTCTGTAACATTAAAAAAAAAATCATGAACATAATGTGTTCCACTGTGCTGTGACAGTGAATTCTTCTTGGGGGGTTAAGGCTCGTGGTCCCTTCTTGTACCTACACTAAAAGTTACATACTTTAACATGGTCTTCTTTTTAGAGTTTCATTGCCTCATTCATTCACTCAATCCTACATTTAAGCATCTATTTGGTGACAGGCATTAAACCAAAAACAAAGGCATCGTTTCCTACTTTTTTTTTTTTTTTTTTTTGAGATGGAGTCTCGCTGTCGCCCAGGCTGGAGTGCAGTGGTGCCATCTCGGCTCACTGCAGGCTCCACCCACTGGGGTTCACGCCATTCTCCTGCCTCAGCCTGCAGAGTAGCTGGGACTACAGGCGCCCGCCACCCCGCCTGGCTAATTTTTTGTATTTTTAGTAGAGACGGGGTTTCACTGTGTTAGCCAGGATGGTCTCGATCTCCTGACCTCGTGATCCGTCCGCCTCGGCCTCCCGAAGTGCTGGGATTACAGGCGTGAGCCACTGCGCCCGGCCCGTTTCCTACTTTCAAAAAGTATATGCTATAAGAAAGAAACAAAAGTAAATCACTGCAGGATGTAAGTATTATGGTAACGCTAGGCACTAGGTGCTATGGAGAAGTAGCTGCCAAGAGACAGCAGTGTAGTCAGGAAACTGCAAAACGTTTAGTATGGCTAGATAGTAAGGAAGCAGCCAGAAACCGATCATAAAATGAAATGCTATTAATATCCCTGCTGTTAATATATTAATACCCTTACCTTCCTTAGCCTTTTTATAGTATTTTGTTTCTGCTTTGCTATGGACCTGGTAAACAGATAACTGTGCCCACTGGTAAGAGTAAAAATACTTCCAAAGACTCACCTAGAAGTAAAAAACAAAGCACTTGAAAGCAGAAACTTTAGAATTCATTAGTTTTCTGTACAGAATGTTCTGATCTCTATACTACAAACATGAATGTGCTATCCTTTACCATTACGCAGAAGTATGCATTGCTGAATCAAGGCGTATTTACTGACTGACTCCTACAAGCCAAGAATTACATTAGGAATATAGAGACAGGCCAAATGCAGTGGCTCACACTTGTAATCTCAACCCTTTGGGAGGCCCTGGTGAGAGAAGAGCTTGAGTACAGGAGCTCAAGACTAGCCTGGACAACATAGAGAAAACCCCATCTCTACTCAAAAAAATAAGTAAATAAATAAAAATTAAAAAAATTAAATTAGTGTGGCATGGTGGCACACTCCTGTAGTCTTAGCTACTCAGGAGGCTAAGGCAGGAGCTTCACTCGAGCCCAGTAGTTTGAGGTTACAGTGAGCTATGACTGCAATACTATACTCCAGCCTGGTCAACATGGTGAGACAATTTCTAAAAATAAGTATTTGTTAATCTAATAAGATATAAAAACATGGGCCCTAACCTCAAGAAGCTTATTCTAACAATTTTTGAAACCCAGATGCAAGCAGCCAACTGTAACATAATATTTAAAGGCCATAAAACAGGGAAAAATTAGGAGTAAGAGTTCTGAATTAATGTGAAGGTAAGAGTTAAGATTTCATAGAAAAAGGAGTATTTCACATTCCTGACTCAATCTAAGGAGGGCTTTTGCCACTCTCTCAAAATGGTTTGCTTCTTTATGTAGGAATCTTTTTGCATCCTCTTAAGCTTTTCATTTGCTCATTATGTATCCTTTGTAGCGTGTTATCCTAAGGCCATCCTGCCTTCAACTATCATGCCCAAAGCAGTCTTACAAAATTGCTAGTACAAGTAGCTGGCTGGGAAAAGACAAATCAAGGTTATGTTTCTTCTCCTTCATTCCTTGTTCCTTTGAAATCTTAAGATCTTGGTCATAGACAAATGAAAAACTGGCCAACCTGGTCCCTGTGGCCATAATTTTCAAGCATATCCTCTCCTACTCACAACAGTTTCCTTTGATCAGAGGCTCCATTTGTCTTAAAAAGGATGGACCAATATAATGGAGAAAAGCTATATTCAAAATAAGTCTGGGACAAAACCATAGATGGGCTTGATTAAAATGAGGTACAATTTTTACTACTAGGTAAAATAAAATCACACACACACATTGTGTGTGTGTGTGTGTGTGTGTGTGTGTGTGTGTGTGTGTGTGTGGGGCAGGCAGTCCCATACATAGGTTGCCCAAGATTACCTCTGGTGTCCATCTCCTGTACAACCCCCTTCCCCATGTGCGCAGGCAGGGCTGTGAATGTGATGTATTTCATTCCCATTATTAGGTTAAATCATATGACAAAGGAGGAAAGACGTTCAGATGTAATGAAGATTCCAAGTAAGGTGAATTCAAGCTAAAGACAGATTATCCTGGGTGAGCCTGGGCATGACTTAATCAGAGAAAGCAGAACTGAGTCCTTCCCAAGAGATTCTCTTGCCAATTCTTCAGACTAAGATGTTGTGAGAAGGCATGCGAAAGGTACCATGTGGCAGGGGCTTGAGGGCAGCTTCTAGGAGCTGAAAGCAGTCACCAGTTGACGACCAGCAAGAAATGGGGGACCTCAGTCCTATAATCACAAGAACCACATTCTACCAGTGAACTTGGAAGGAGACACGGATGAAATCACAGCTCTGGGCCGGGTACAGTGGCTCACGCCTGTAATCCCAGCACTTTGGGAGGCCGAGGCGGGCAGATCACAAGGTCAAGAGATAGAGACCAACCTGGCCAACATGATGAAACCCCATCTCTACTAAAAATACAAAAATTAGCTGGGCGTGGTGGCGCACACCTGTAGTCCCAGCTACTTGGGAGGCTGAGGCAGGAGAATCACTTGAATCCGGGAGGTGGAGGTTGCAGTGAGCCAAGATCGTGCCACTGCACTCCAGCCTGGCGACAGAGCAAGACTGTCTCAAAAAAAAAAAGAAAAGAAAGAAATCACAGCTCCTGCAAGGTAAGACCCTGGGGGCCCAGCAGCTAACCCCATACCAGGACTCCTGATTCATGGAAATTGTAAGGAAATATTTGTGTTTTAAACAAATAAATTTGTAGTAATTTGTTACAGAAAACACAATGTGTATGTATATAACTTGAATAAAAATTATTGTACCACAGTGAAAAAGTTTCTTCTCCAGAATTTTGGCTACACTGATTTGATTACAAAAGATATAAAAATTAACACATTTTTATTTAAGCAGTATAGCAGGTTTTAAAGCCTCAATCTGGTAACAGCTAGCTTCATGCCAGAAACTGAACTGGGCTCTCCCATCTTTATACACTGAACATCAGGTTTAACAGACTTGCTTAAAGTCACATACCTCAGAAATATCAAAACCATAATCTGAACTCAAGTCTATCGAATTCTAAGGTTCATACTCAACCCACAAAACCACCTTCTACTTTAAAGTAACATTCTTTTTTATAATCTAGTTTGATTAGTAAGTATCAACTATTCCACCAGGCCTATTTAAAACCATTTTTAGTACTTAAAAATAAACTTGTTTCCTGAAAACTGATATAATTTTTCTCTAGGCTGGCAACTTTTCAGCATTACAGATTTGCTAACTCTGGCTTTCTCCCAGAATGCAACCTGTATTTAAAAAGTCCTGCCAAGGAAACATCCTGAGACCACATTAAGTCTGCAACTCCCAAAACTTATCATGTTTAATGTCTATTTCCATATAATCATATGACTAATTCATTAAGCATAACTAAGAAAACCCTATTTCACAAAACTAAAGTTTACAGAAAACAGTTTAACCTTTTAAGCATCAACACTACTATTTTAGGACATCCTTTGTTTAATCTGGCCATTCTGTGTTTTGGTAACATAACCAACAATTTAACTTTTCTTGGAGACTTGCAGGTATTATTAGTAATTATCGCACTAAAATTAGCACTTAGGACAAGACACTGTCCCAAAACATTTAAAATTGCTTCTGACAACAGCATCCTTCTTCGTTCATTTCCTTTTTTTTTTTTCTCCAGTAAAAGTGAGAGAGAGGATACAGGTACATGACTTCTAAGCCAGTATGACATAACGTACTTCTACAAAATAAGGTGTTCACGAAGGCCCACAAAGCATTCTTCAGCATACCAACTGGTCGGTCAAAAGCACTAAAATCACAGCCTAATATAAAAGACGAAAACAAAACATTAGATGAGGAGTCAGGTGCTTAGTGTCACCTCTAGCTACAAGTCTGGTTATCTGTAAAATAAAGTCAAATCCAAAACTCCAAATATTCTCACCACTTCCATGATAGCAACTGTTAATCTCTTGGAAGTAATTAGGTAGATTAATAATTTAAAAAACATGTTTGAATCTCTAATATTTAAACTGACAAATTATCAGGTTATATACCAAAATACGAGAAAAGCCATATGCATGAATATGGTCACCACAGCACAATAATAGCGACAATTTAAAAGGTAACTAGAAGCAACCTAAATGTTTAACAAATACTTGCTAAGTAAAATTACGGTACACTTGCTTGAACTATGCAGCCATTAAAAAGTAGCAACCAGAAACACTACTACTTGGGGGAGGAGAAAATTATTTAAATGCTATGATCATAAGGTAGGGTTATATATGAACAGGACTTCATAAATTCAAGAAAAAAGTTATCTTGGAATATTAGGAAGAAAAACAGAGAACTCCCTATAAAGATTAAATAGAGCAGCCAAATCAATGAGGTGACTTGAGCATACACTCAGGAGAACATGTATAAGCTCCATGTCCTGTTCAGCACAATGTCACTAACACCTAGAAGAGTACATGGCACATAGCAGGCATTCAACTATTTATTAAAAGAATAATCTTCCAAACTGTAAGCAAATGATGTAACAGCCTGCCTTTCTGATTTGTGTAACAAGTTTCTTAGAAATCTGGTTGGCAATGAGACAAGCTAAAAGCTTTGATCAAGGAAGAGATCTGATGCACTCACCTGCAGGTTACCATTAAATGAAGTCAGTGGTTGCCCAGTAAGTCCACCCCATCCTACTGAGGCAGAATAAATCATTGAGCTACTGATGCATGCTGTGCTCCTTGCTAGGATTTTTTTTTTTCCCTGTTCTGAGAATAAACTAGACCTAAATGTCACCTTTCCTTTGAGAAGAGTTCTATCACTGGGCCTAAAACAAATCTGTTTCCTTGGCTTTTGTTTTCTGGGAGCAGAGTTCTCTGAAAGGATTTTGACAGTGTGGAGCAGGGGTACTCAAAGTCCCGGATGGCATTCTTCAAAGCTGGTCCAGGAGAGAACACTGCAAACAGGAATGGGACTGTGCACGCTTAGAGTTATGCAAAAGGCAGGCCTGGATGGGCACAGGGATCTTTGGGGGATGACAGAAATGTTCAAAATGTAACCAAAAAAATCTAATTGAATGGAGTGAATTTTATGGTATATAAAACATAACTTAATAAAGCTTCTTTAAAAAAAAAAATCGAGAGCCTGGTTCTGGAAAACTGAGGTCCAAACACTGGGTAGAACTGACCCTCTGAGATGTTACTACCCTTTGAGATCCAAGACAAAATTTCTAAGTCATTCATCTCTAAGCTTCAACAGTTCTCATACACAAATGACACATGAAAAAGACTGAAAGGAATAAAAAAAAAATCATTCTCTCACTACACAACGGTCACAATTTGCTTTATATATGTGTGTGTGTGTGTATATACGTATATACGTATATACACATGTATATATACGTATATATATGTGTGTGTGTATATATATATATATATGTTTTGTTTTTTTTTTTTTGAGACAGAGCTTTGCTCTTGTTGCCCAGGGTGGAGTGCAGTGGCGCAATCCTGACTCGCACAATCCTGACTCACTGCAGTCTTCACCTCCTGGGTTCAAGCAATTCTCCTGCTTCAGCCTCCAGAGTAGCGGATTACAGGTGCTGGTCACCACACCCGACTAATTTTTTTATTTTTAGTAGAGACAGGATTTCATCATATTATTCAGGCTGGTTTCAAACTCCTGACCTCAGGTGATCCACCAACCTCGGCCTCCCAAAGTGCTGGGATTACAGGCGTGAGCTAAAAAATAATTTAAAAATAATTTTGAAAAGCTAATAGGCAGTATTAGGAGAAACCATTCAAGGACTGGTACTATGTGGGTGAGGATGTTCATTACTGCCCAGCACCGGACAATCATTTCTAAACAGAAATTATGGTTCCCACTCTTGAGTTAGGCAAACAAACAGGACCCATCTCTTTCTGAGAGCACAGCAGAAATAGGGTGTGTGAAAACAGCCTAAGGCTCCCCTACTTCCTTTCCCCAGTCCACAATCCCATAAGGTGATGAAAAAGAAGGAAAAGGGAAAAGAAAACAGATGCAACGAAAGAAATCCTCTATCCATTACACAGAGAATGCAGAAATAAAGGGTAGGAAAAATAAGAGTTACATATTTTAAATAAACTTTTCTTTCCTTCCCTTCCAAAATCTAAATTTGCCTACACAAAGATTTTTCTCCCCTCAAAGAAGTATGTCTAAAATCGTTTTACTTAGGTTGGTTACCACAAAGAATTACACAGATGTGAAAAAATATCTAGACCACAAAAGTCCAAACCAATAAAAAATTTTATACACTCTCTCCCTCTCCCTCTCTCCAAACACACACACGGCGCACACACATATAATTACTTACACAATAATTGTGGGTTTTACAATAGTTGGAAAAAAGAGGTATGATTGAGTTATAATTTTATTAAATAACAATCATAATTCAAATAATTATTGCTTGCCTGCCATATGCTGGATGCTGTGACTACAAAATGGGAAAAAGAAACAGTCCTTACCCTTAAAGCAACTCAGTCTAGTGAGGGACAATTAATAACAGGAACTACAAGAAGATAATAGGGCTCCATAACCTAGATAGAAGAGGTGAAAAGTTCAGATCCTTAACAAAGGGAAAGATCTAAGGCAGGCAGGCTCCATGGCAAACACCTGTAGTCCTAGTTACTCAGGAGGCCAAGAAAGGAGGATCACCTGGGCCCAGAAGTTCGAGTCCAGAAGGGACAACATAGCAAAACCCGTTTCTGGAAAAACTAAAATTAAAAAAAAATTTTTTTAATGAAAGATGTAAGAGTTGGGAAGAGACTGTGTACATGACCCCTCTTCTTCATCTGTTTATTCTAAATTTCTCTCATTAATTTACTATATAGAGTTCAAGTATTAATGCTTTATCTCCTCTAGATAACGTCGTATTAATTAACGTTTGCTGATGAACTAGACAAGAACTATACTGTTCAAATCCATGTTTACAATCTGTTCGCTCTTTCCAGAGAAAAGGCTGTGAGTTAAGTAGAGTAAAATGGAAGTGAAAACTGTCTGACATGTTTTCTTAGCAGGAAAACCAAAACAAACACAACGCAACAATCAAGACTAATTAAGAACTACCTTTCCAGCAAGATGAATTACAAAATGGTGGTGGCCTAAACCAAACTAGAGGTAGTACAGAGAAATAGGTGGAATAAACTAGAAGACATAATCTTGACCAATAATCTTTCCATACTGAGCAAGTACCTAATCATTTCAGAAACTTTTATCATAAGAATTTCTCACCCACACTTTCCACTCACAGCCTCAAAAAAAGAAAGTGAGCACAAACAGAAACAGCCTAGGAATGTAACATGAATTAAAAGCCTCATCCAATGCTGTTGGCAGAGAGACAACAGATCTACACTCTACATTATGATGCTAACAGTCAGTTATGTCTGACTATGCCATCTTGTTTACTCTTCATCAAAAATTAGGTTATTTTAGTAGAGAAAATTCTCCTCAATATTCACCCAGAGTAATACTTGACAATTTAACTATAAAAACAAGATGGGCATATAAAGCCCAACAAGTATGGAAATACGAACTACCTTCTAGAATCACAGACGAAGTCAGAGGTGGAAAACCCACAGATTATTTAAGTCCAACTTTTTTTATATTTTACAGATGAGAGCCTGAGGCCCACATGACGAGTCTGTGGCAGAACTTATTCAACTATAGGCGCTAAGGCCTTCAAATCTCTTAGAAATAAGTCTTACAGAAATATCATAAAAATCAACTTAAAATTGAATGAACAATGTATGATTAGCAGGTTTGCAAAAGGTGAAATATACCATATTATAAATATATATAATATATTATATAATACCATATTATAAATAAATATATTATAAATATATATTTATAAACCCCAGAGAAAGGAGTATCTGAAGTGACACAATTCCCAGGTAAACTTCCAGTCAGAAATTTCATCTTTTTATTCCAAGTGTGTCCCAGCTTCCCACACCTGATCTGACATCTATATGTATGTGGTTTCGTATTATCTCTACAAAAGTTCTATTTCTTCCATTAGACGGTGTTCCCTGAAGATAGGAACAATTTTACTTCGATTCCAACTGTCCCTATAAAAGGGAATTTTTTTTAAAGCCTACATACAAGGTTTGTTTGCTATTGAAAAAAATTTACGGTAAATTTTCAAGTATAACAACACTCGCAATCAAGGCCAAACAGAATACAGCAGACTTGCAACTCTAAGGTAACAACTGTATTATGAGCTTTGTATACATTTAAGTTTTCATACGTTAAGTCCACCGCTTAAGAAAAAAGAAATGGCAATTCATATAATGGTGGCAATAATTACATGTGTGTGTTTCTACTTACGGTAGAATTAGCATACCCAACTTTTACTGAATAATAGCATATATCATTTTTGCAACACAAAGAAAAATACTTTACCTTACAAGCCATACAGACGTAAACAAAAACTTTATTTCTTTTTGGACCTCAATAACCTGAAACACTCCCGTTTCAAAAACCAACCTCTCTCACGCTTCAACCCTGAAAGGAAGAACTTGCATCCCCTGAGAACAAAACGCAGCCTATCCAGAAACCCACGGAAGCAGAAGGACGCCAGAGAGGACCCTTTCGACCGGGTTCCGCGTTCTCCTGGGTGACATCATTTCACCTGCGTCTCGGCAAAAAGGGAGGGAGCGAGAGAGCGAGGCCATCTGCCGGGCAGCGGGCCGGCGGCTCCGCGAGCTGAGACCGCGCCTCCTCGCCACCGCGGGAACAAAGAGCGCCGGGCGGCCGAGGCAAACCTTAGCCCAAGACTCGGGCGCGGCCCCGCAGGCTCTCAACGGCCCGCAGCCCGTCCCGCCCTCGCGCTGCAGCCAACGGCCGCGGCGGCCAGTACCTGCGAGGGGAGGCTCCGCCCTGCCGGGCAGCTCCCGCGGATCCTCGCTGGGCCGCCGCCTCCTATTGTGACTGCTCGCCCAGCCCGCGGCCAGCTCGCCAGATCCGCCGTCCGCGGGCCTCCTCACCCCCGGAACCCCGGCTCCAACTTAGGCACTGTCACTGCGCTTCCTTCCTCCCGGCACCATCACACGGGCCGCGCCAGGAAACGACGGCTGCACGCCCAGAGATGACAGAGTCGCCTAACGCCTCGGAGGCTCCATCCTCTCCGCCCCCACGCCCCAACCGACCGGGCCTCGGCCCCGTCCCGCAACACCGCACTAGGGGCCCGGCCCGGCCACGCCCCTCCCCGCCCCGCCGCGCCCCGCCGCACCCCGCCTCACCCCGCCTCGGCGATCACAGACCCGGGCTCCCTATGCGCCGGCGCACTGGCCTCCGCTGCGCGCGCAGGCGACTCCCCTCGCCGCTAGGCCGCGACACGCGCGGTCCTCCCACTTCTTGGGTCCGGGTCGCCCGTCCCACCCCGTCCCCTCGCCAGCACAAACCTAGCGAGCCCAGCGCGCCAGACCACCGGAGCGCTCCTCCCTTTTCCCCCAGGCTCCGCACCGCGCGCCGAACCCCCTTTGTTTCCACCCCGAGGGGGAAGGGGGCGGGGCGGGGCGGGGCGGGGCTGCGCGCGGCCCGGCGCACGACTCGGACCAGTTCCGGCAACAGAGCTCCGCGCGCAGCACCACTGCGCAGCCCCGCCCCAGCCCGCCCCCCGCTGCCCTGCGGACCGCAGGGCCCTGTTCCAATTCCTATAGATTTTCTCTTAGTAAATTGTTGCTACTGTTCCGTGCCTCCTACCTACAAAACTCCGCAATCAAACAGTAACTGACCTCACGTAGTTCTTACAGCATAAATGCATTCACGTGGCCCGAAAAGTAAGAATTTTTATTGCAGTACACAAAGGTGTCTCTCAATGCAGCAAGCCAACAGGTTCGAACCCAACTTGTCCGAGGCTTCCTTA
Source organism: Homo sapiens (assembly GCF_000001405.40). Classification (NCBI taxonomy): domain Eukaryota; kingdom Metazoa; phylum Chordata; class Mammalia; order Primates; family Hominidae; genus Homo; species Homo sapiens. The sequence goes on from NC_000009.12 coordinate 36,401,562, forward strand.
AGTGTGACAGTTGCTCAGATGTCGCTTGGGGAGGGGAAATAAGAACAAAGATTGAAGCCGGCTTGGCTCCTGTCCTGATAATCACGATACAAGAGAGAAAATAAAAATTTCCACAAAAGCACAATCCATACAAGGAAAAAATAGTAAAGTGGTATCAGACTTAAGGAGAGAGGGCAGTCAAGAGGACATCATGGAAGGGGTGGACTTTTTAAAGCAGAAATTAGATGTTTCCCGCAAGGATGGTGATCATATTTTAGGGTGGTAGAGTAAAATTATTAAGGACCAGTCAACAGAAAACTCGGGTTTTCAAGTTCTAGTTCTTTTGGCATTACTTAAACCAGTCTCTCTTTCCCTCTCTGGGCCTCAGCTGCAACCAGTAGAAAATGGGGGAAATCAGAGTAAATGTTGTTTCAGGACCTTCTGGACCTTGGACATTCTCTTTATGAACAACACTATATGGTAATTATTTATGTACACTTGTCTCCCATATCAGACTGAGCACCCAGACTCTGTTGGGACTGTGTAAACTAAACCCAAGGCCCAAGTCTAGTGCCAGAAACACAAGAGAAGGTGTTTAGCAACTGCTGAATCAAAGTTCCAGCAATAACATCATAGGTTTTGGAATTCCAGGACAAACAAAGAGAAGCTGGAAAGAGGTATTAGGTCCCTATGAACATATCCACCCCAAACCCATACTCGAATTATGTAACCCAGTTAACCAGCTGGCTGGCTCTCTCCCAAAGCAGCCAGTTTGGAGATGATCACATCTAAACTTGTTTTTTTTGTTTGTTTGTTTCACTTCAAGGTAAAGTGCCAACCATACCTTTAAGTTTATCCAATGTATCCTATTTTCTATCCTCTGTATCCCTCACAAATCGCAATCTACTGTGGATTCGCCTTCCAATTACAGATCTTCCACCAGAATCTAAGCTTAAAAAAAAAAAAAAAAATCCTCCCTACAGAACGCAGACCACCCTGAAGTAGCTTTTCCTCCAAGCTTGGATAGGACTATGTGAAGAGAGGGGAAAGGGGAGAAGAACATCAGGAAAGGAAAGGGAAGTTACATTTGGGAGCTATCTAACTGTAAGAGAGGCAGATTCCTCAAGTGCTGAACTCAGCAGCAAAAATCTATTACAGTCCTCCAGCATTCCTCACCTCTAAGCTTCAGCAAATCCCTCTGAGCTTCAGCCAACCTTTTGTGAGGCAAGCTTCCTGAAACCTCTCAAATGGTTACGATCTTCAACAATGCTGTCACAACCCCAGGTTGGATAGTTTTAAATTTCTTCTTCTTTTTTTATTTTTTTTGTATTTTGAGACACGGTGCTCTGTCGCCCAGGCTGGAGTGCAATGGCTGGATCACATCTCACTGCAGTCTCAAACTCCTGGGCTCAGGCAATCCAGGCTAAATTTTTAATTTTCTGTAGAGGCAGGTCTCACTATGTTGCCCAGGCTGGTCTCTAACTCCTGGGCTCAAGCAGTCCTCCCATATTGGCCTCCCAGAATGCTGGGATTACAGGTGTGAACTACCATGCACAGCCTCTAATTTATTTCTTAACCAGAAAATCTTAAGCCATGCAAGTAAACACCCAAAGAGCAGGCAGGCTTTTAAAGTGGTGGGCCACCTTTGACACCTAATGTGGCAGGGGCTAAAGTTATACCAGAGCAGTCACTTAACTACAGTCAAGCTAAAATTTTATTTGGTGTCTGTCCACAAAGGTGGAAAGTCCCACTGCAGAACTAATAGAACTTTCTGCAATGACAAAAATATTCTACATCTGCCCCATCGAAAAGGCTGCCACTAGCTAGTGACATGTAGCTACTGAGCACTTGAAATGTGGCTAGTCCAATTAATGAATTGTCCAGGATCAGTTTTTAAAGCCACACAGGGCTACGGGACAGTACAGCATTTGTAAGAAAAGGTGCTTTTGGCAAGAGCTTTTTGAGAATTCTGACTCTGAGGCTCCCTTTAAAAAACTGGTTTTCTTGACAAGTGAAAATTGTGAATGACTACTGTTATTCCAGAGCTACCCAAGTCATTTGAGTCCCTTCAATTTTAAAATAAAAATATATCAAAACATTGCTTACTGAACAGGAAAATGCTGAAGTTCCTTCAGATGGTTCTGGTAGTTATTCAATGAGATTGTTTACTCTGGTGTTCTGCCATTCTAATACATGGGAATAACAGCAGCCACTATACAAAAACTGCATAGGATTTTAGAACTGATCACCTAGTGAACAAATTCAGCCTATTCTTCAATGCTAAATCTCACCCACTTTTCACCTTTTAAAGAATGTGACTCTACAAATTCTCTTTTATACCATCATGTTTTTCTCTTTATTGGATTATTCCTAACAGAACACAAAAACACACCATTAATTTCTCCCATCTTTAAATCTTTATAGTTAATGGTTTCAGGTTTGTGTTTCTAGTTGCTGTCATTATCCTGTTTAAGAAATATTTCCCTTCACATGGGTCATAAAGACATTCACCTATATTATTTCCTTAGAATTTTTATTATTTTCTCTTTTCCATTTGGATCTACACATCACCTGCAATTGATTTTTGGTGTTGGTGAGGAGGGAATCAAGTGCCCTCTTCCCCATACGGACATCTACTTGACACAGCATCATATACTGAAAAAGACTTGCCAACTGCTCCTTTGTTTAAAAAACTGTGGCCACATATGCATGAGTTTGTTTCTGGGTTCAGTAGTCTGTTGCACTGTTCTCTTTATCCCTGTGCTGATCCACACCATCGTCATTACTGCAGCTTTATAAGACTTCCTTTCATCTGTTACAGCAGGTTATCCTTCAGAGTGTCTACATTATCTCTGGCCTTTTAAATTTCCATAGGAATTTTAGAATCAAATTATTTCAAAAGAAGGAAAGAAAAAAAGACAAGGAAAAAGGTGAAATTGCTGGGATTTTCTTGGGCTGCATTAGATCTAGAAATGAGTTAAGGAATATAGGAAGATTAAATATTGTAAAGATAGCAATCTATAAGCTATTTACTTGAGTCTTTAATTCTTTCAATAATGCTTTATAGTTTTCTATCAAGGTCTTGCATATTTTAGTTCTTAGGTTTATTCTAGGTTTGTTAATATAATTCAATTATTAATTCTAATAGTTTATCTCAGTTCTTTTGAGTTTTCTATACAAACAATTCTGTTTATATCCTTGTCTACTTGGCAGAAAATACTGGCTGTTCCATTTCTTTCTTTCCAACATATACTCATTTTCTTGTCTTAGTGCACTGGCAACGACCTCTAGTACAGTGCTAACCAGACAGCTTTGTTTTATTCCAAACCTCAACTGAAAAACTGTCGACATTTAAGTACGGTGTTTGTAGTTTTGTTTTTTTTTAAGACCCCTTTAGAAAATTAAAGGAGTTCTCTGCCATTTCTAATATATTAAAAATTTATACATGGGCCAGGTGCAGTGGCTCACACCTGCAATCCCAGCACTTTAGGAGGTCGAGGTAGGCAGATCACCTGAGGTCAGGAGACCAGCCTGGCCAACATGGTGAAACGCCATCTCTACTAAAAACTACAAAAAATTAGCCAGGCATGGTGGCACGTGGCTGTACTCCTAGCTACTTGGGATGCTGAGGCAGGAGAATCACTTGAACCCAGGAGGCGGAGGTTGCAGTGAGCTGAAATCGTGCCTTTGCACTGCAGCCTGGGCAACAGAGAGAGACTCTGTCTCTTAAAAAAAAAAATTCATAAATGGATGTTTGATTTTATGAAAAACTTCTGTATCTACAAGTTAATCATATGACTTTTCTGTTAATATGTGAATTTGATTGGTTTGGGGGTGTTAGGAATTCACATTTCTAATCAGCCCATTTTAGGCTTACTGTATTGCTCTAAATGGTTGATTTGGTTTGTTTAGAATTTTTGCTTCTGTGTTGAGTGAGTTTACCTGTAATTTTCCATGTTTATAATGTCCCTATCAAGTTTTGTTACAAAGACTTATGCTAGCTTCAGAAAATGAATCAGGGAGTACTGGCTTGCTTTCTATTCTCTAGAAGTGTTTCTTTAAGACTGGTGTTAACGCCTTCTTTAAATGTTTGGGAAAATTTGCTGGTTGGCTAACTGGACTTGGAGTTAAATTTCCTTAGATGTCCTGTTTTTTCTTTATTTCTAACTAAGGCAAAACAACTGTAATCTTAGGATATATATATAAGAAAGATCTCATTCTGAAATTCACTATCTGCTTCTAGAAAACCATTTCCCAATCTTGTGAATTTGAAGGGTACCGTTGCTACAAATACATTTTAAAACACACTAAACAATAATCATAAACAAATTTAAATAAGTGCTAGTTAATAGTCTGTCAAATGGTAAATATACAGTTTATTTTTGTGACCAGTTTTGCATTTCTAGACATCAAGGAATATCTAAAATAATGGTTATCTGAAGGATCTTTTTACAAAAAAGTTGACTATGAGGTTACAGGCTGTCCTCCTTATCCCTCTACACACTTGTATCATAACACCTTACAGCGTTTATCAAATATCTGTTTCCTCCTGTTAAACTGTAAGCTCCTCAAGTCTCAGTTCTGCTTTGTTTGTATATCACTGACACCGATGTTGGGGGGAAGAATGGATGACGGAAAATGCACAAAAATGGAAAGAGGACCATCTCCTATTTTAAGGCATTGAAAGGCATGATTCAACAGCTACAGGTAAAGAACCACTTGTCCAAATGCTGAAGAACCATTCACATGGAAGGAAATGTCAAAGGAGGTGCTGGGGTAAAGAATGGCTTACCTGCTGGAAGTTCTGGACCTCTACTAATGAGAAGGCAGTTCCTCATTGGTTAACACTGTCAGTACTGTTCTGCCATCACATCCACATCCAAGTATCCCTACTATAATCTCACTCCAACAACCTCAATCTCTATTGCCGAGTTAGTGGCCTCTCCTGTGTGTTCTAAAATAGCATTAATCATTCTGCCTTCCAACTTTGTATTTACTTGACACTTCTGCCCAATAAATAGTAAACTTCTTGAAGCCAAGGACTAAGTCTTACCAAATCTGGCAAGGGGTTAGCACATACCATGTGCTTAATAAATAGTTCTGTTAATGATATGTAAATATTTCACAGCAGTGGCTGATTCTACGTTTCTCGCTTGGTAAATTCCCAAGGAGAAATGAAGCACAGGAACAACAGAAAGCGGGCAGTGAAAAGAGAGGAAAAGGGATGCAGAAAAAATAAATTTCAAAATCTTCCCTGAAGCTAGCTTTGCTGTCATCCCTAAGTTTCCTTTCTTCCTCCAAAACCAGCTAAAAGGACTGAATAACATAAAGCTGCACTGGGCCGGGCGCGGTGGCTCACGCCTGTAATCCCAGCACTTTGAGAGGCCAAGGCGGGCAGATCATTTGAGCTCAGGAGTTTGAGATTAGCCTGGACAGCATGATGAAACCCCATCTCCACCAAAAATACAAAAAAAACCCAAAAAACAAAAGATAAAGCTGCACTGAGGGAAAAGGCATATTGGCTGAACAGCATTTAGCCTACGCAGTATCTACAAGCATGCTACAACTTGATCTACTACTGCAAAACAATCAGCATAAGCAGTTTCACCCAGAAATGTTAACACAAATCAAAGTAGAAAAAGTTAATTAGTAGCAGCTGCCGGCTATAGCAGCTAGAGACCAGAAGAGGGCAGCAAAGGCTCACCCAAATCGAAGTCCACTGAAAGCCTCCCATATTATATAGCCACTTATCCAGCTTTGAGGTGAAGAGTTAGTCAGGTGGCTGTTTCCACAGTGCAGGTGAGAGATGACTTGGACTGAACCATGGTAGCTGGAATGACAGAGGGCAAGCTCATGGTAGTGAAGGTGTGAAGGGGCTAAAGCAGGTGGACAGTGAAAAGGCATCGGCCAGGAAGGAGTTCAAATGAAGAAACCTAAGTGCCTAGGACAGCCAAGTCAGAAGCAGAAAAACAGAGACCTATACCAATCAGAAGTGGAGACCCAAGGGCACAAATAAAGCATACACTGCACATCACAGCATATTCAACCTCTAGAACAGGGTAACCAGGCAGGAGCTGACCCTGAGGCAACAGGCCTCCACTAGATGGCCTGCTGTAACCTATACTCTTTGAAGCCACACTCTTGCTTGTTCTGTTCCGGAGAACAGACAGCACCTTGAGCTCAACTGTATGCTCCAGCAGCTTCATCTCAGGGGCAATCATATTCTGGCACTACAGTTTTTACCAAATCCAATGGAGACCCAGAGCACAAAAAAAAGTTAGCCACATACAGATCTAGGTTATTCTTTTCAACAAAGCCAATTCTTTCTTTGTTAGGGAGGAACCATCTCTGTATTTTTTTTAAATCCTGTATTACATTTAGGTTGTTCTCAGTGTTTTGCTATTACAAAGCTATTATTAATATTCTTGTACATACATATAGTTTGGCAAGCATTTGAAAATATATCCATAAAAGTACATTTCTAGAAGTAGAATTGCTGGTTCAAACAGTATGTGAATTTTCTTAAAATTTCAAGATATATTGCTACACTGCCTCCTAAAAGGCAGCATCAATTTTTTTAATTTTTTGAAACCTGTCACCCAGGTTGAGGTGCAGTGTCATGATCACAGCTCACTGCCCCCTTGAATTCCTGGGGGCTCAAGTGATCCTCCCGCCTCAGTGCTGAGTAGCTGGGACTACAGGCATACACCACCACAACAGACTTAATTTTTTTTTTTTTTTTTTGTAGAGACTAGGTTTCACCATGTTGCCAAGGCTGGCAATTTTTATTCAAAGCAAAGCTAACTGATCACAGTTTGGAGTTGACCCTGGAGGGGAATCAGTAGTTTTCAGGGTACTCCCTGAGGAAAGATAGGCTAGCCCTATGGACAGCAGTACGCCAAGCATCAGGAAGAGAGAAGCCCTGAGCAGAACTTGGACCAGTATACTTTTAGTGAAGCCATATTTCATATGCAGCTTTAAGTTCTCTTTGTTCTGATGCCCTTCTGTTAAATCCTTTATTAAATATTAATAGCCTAGGAACTAGGCCCAAACTATAATCTAGGAGCTGGGCCTAAACTTGAGCCAAAGTGACACCAGTGAGAACACCTTAGGGAAGCTGGTGACCAATGGGCCATGGGTCAAAGGACTGGCTGGAAGGACAAGCAGTTTACCCAGGAAGTCCCAGAAATACCTGGAGAGGAAAGCCAGACAAACTGTTCAACTGAATTTAAGAAAAGCAAGCGCTCAAATCATTAAGAATTGGGCATTAATGGAAAATGTGATCCCAAAAGCCAGTGAAATAAGGACTTAAATGGGTTATACTTACATAAGTGCTTCAAGAAAATAAATGATGTTATGCACATGGCCGGGTGTGGTGGTTCACCTCTGTAATACCAGCACTTTGGGAGGCAGAAGGGAGCGGATCACTTGAAGTCAGGAGTTCGAGGCCAGCCTGGCCAACATGGTAAAACCCTCTCTCTACTAAAAATACAAAAATTAGCCGAGTGTGGTGGTGAATGCTGGTAATCCCAGCTACTTGGGAGGCTGAAGCAGGGGAATCACTTGAACCTGAGAAGCAGAGGTTGTAGTGAGCCAAGATCACACCACTGCACTATAGCCTGGGTGACAGAGTGAGACTGTCTCCAAGAAAGAAAGAGAGAGAGAAAGGGAGGGAGGGAAGGAGGGAAGGAAGGATGGAAGGAAAGAAGGAAGGAAGGAAGGAAGGAAAGAAGGAAAGAAAGAAAGAAAAGAAAGAGAGAGAAAGAAAAAGAAAGAAAGAAAGAAAAAGAAAGAAAGAAAGAAAGAAAAAAAGAAAGAAGGCAGGCGGGCGGGCAACAGAAGCACAGCCAATTAGCTACTTTACTTTTGGGAAAGACCACGAAGAGAAGTCGCTGAAAACAGACATGGGAATCACAGTCTTAAGAAGTTTGAGATGCAAGAAACATTCGAATGCTGCAGACCAGACTGCCTGAACGTCTTACTATTTCCATTATGTTCAATGAGGAACACACTTTCTTTCCTCTAGGGAATTCTGGTGGAGCTCAAATACCTGTACAGTCAATAACTTGCTCTAGATGACACACACCCTGCTATAGAAGTCTAACATCTTGCATTCATGAAATGTGACCAGCTCACTAAAACTGCCAGTGTTTCCACTGATGATAGTTTTAGGATCCTAACACGAATGGTTTTGCACAGACATATGTGATACACGGTGCATCTCCACAAACCCTGTATCCTCCTGCCCGTGCCACATTCTACAGGCCCTCCAGACTTTAAGGAAAAGAAGGAAATATGTGGGCAGATTTCTAATTTGTACTACAAAACAAATCATAATATTAAGTAAATCTCTTAAGGCAGTACAACTCTTTGTAGAGTAAATATAAAATTTAAGCTTCCATAGGAAGCTTATTTATCTTCCCCTGGCTTGCTTGTTCCTGTTGCAATAGTGTCTTGTAAATAAAACAAAATAAACTTAGGAGATAATGACATTTTAAAGACCAACAAAATAATCTCCAATAACAACAATCTCAAAATACCTATCATTACATGGAATCTCTAATCAGATATTTTACAACAAAGCAAAGTGAGAATCTACTGAAAACACAGTGGGTCACATAATCATATACTAAATAAATTCCAGGTAGATAAGAAAGGATAATGTAAAATTATTAAAACTTTTAGAAAATACGGGTAAATATCTGAATGGAGACAGATTTCCTAAACCTAAAGGCAATGAAACACTACAAAAGAACATATCACAATAGATTTGTTCCTCAAATTATTTATTTATTTTTATTTTTGAAATGGAGTCTTGCTCTGTCGCCCAGGCTGGAGTGCAATGGCATGATCTCGGCTCACTGCAACCTCTGCCTCCTGGGTTCAAGCGATTCTCCTGCCTCAGCCTCCCGTGCAGCTGGGATTACAGGCGTCCACCACCATGCCTGGCTAATTTTTGTACTGTGAGAAGCCATGCCACCAGGAACAAAGGGAAATCTATGAAACCTGCTGGCAGATCTACAACATGGAAATGGCTAGCAAGATCAACTTCTTGATGTAAAAGAATCAGGCAGAACCGAGGCAGGAATGCTGAGGCCTGCGGATAAGACATCCAGTATGAAAACACCCAACCAGTTTTTGTCTCTATCTCTTTTCTTTCAACAACCCTATTTTCTATTACTATTCTCTAAAATAAATCAATCACGTTTCCAAGAAGGCCTCCACATATAAAAACAATCCTATTAGTCAGCAGTGGACCCTCTCTTTTATTAAGTGAAGGAAGAAATGGAGTCTGAAAGTAGTCTAGGAGTAGAATGTTGTTTCCCAGGGGCTGGAGGAGGCAATGAGGAGTTATTGTTTAATGGGTAGAATTTCAGTTTAGGAAGATGAAAAAGTTCTGGAGATGGAGAGTGGTGGTGGCTGCACAAAAAGGTGAATGTACTGTATGTACTTAATGCTACTGAACTGTACATTTAAATGGTTAAGATGGTACATTTTATGTTATGTGTATTTTATTACAGTAAAAAATGTAACTTATGTAATAAGTGAAAATACATGTAAATCATGTCTAGTAAGGGGTTAATATCCAGAATATATAACTCCTAAAACTGAACAGCAAAAAAAAAAAAAAAAACCTGATTAAAAAATGGCAAAAGGAAGTGTAAATGAAAACCACCATCTCACACTCATTAGGATAGTTACTATAAAAAAATTAAAAAGAAAATAACAAGTGTTGGCGAGGATTTGGAGAAACTGGAATCTCTCTGCACTGTTGGTGGGAATATAAAATGGTACAGCCACTATGAAAAACAGTATGGCAGTTCCTCACAAAATAAAAAACTGAATTACCATATGATCTAGCAATTCCACTTCTGGGTATATACCAAAAAGAACTGAAAGCAGGGTTGAAGAGATACTTGTCCACCCGTGTTCATAGCAACATTATTCACAATAGCCAAAAGGTGGAAGCAACCCCAAGTATTTATCAATGATGAATAAACAAAATGTGATGTATATTACAATGACATTTTTTTTCCTTGAGACAGAGTCTTGCGCAATCACCCAGGCTGGAGTGCAGTGGTGCAATCTTGGGTCACTACAACCTCCGCCTCCCAGGTTCAAGTGATCCTCCTGCCTCAGCCTCCTAAGTAGCTGGGACTACAGGTACCTGCCACCACACTGGACTAACTTTTGTATTTTTTTTTTTTTAGCAGAGACAAGGTTTCACCATGTTGGCCAGGCTGGTTTCAAACTCCTGACTTCAAGTGAACCACCACCTCAGCCCTCCAAGGTGCTGGGAATATAGGCATGAACCACCACGCTCAGCCTTACAAAAGAGTATTATTCGCCTTATAAAGAAAGGAAATTGTGATATATGCTACAACATGGATAAACCTTGAGGACCTGCTAACTGAAATAAGCCAGTTACAAAAAGAAAAACAGTGTATGATTCTACTTGTATGAGGTACATACAGCAGCCAAATTCAGAGAGACAGAAAGTAGAAGGGTGGTCTTTTATAAACATGTTGTATTATGCCACTCCTTTGCATAAAACCCTCCAATGGCTTCTCGAAAAAGCAGAATAAAATCTAGACTACTTTCCCTGGCTTACAAAGAACTACATGGGCTGGCCCATGCCCACCTCTCCAAGCTCATCTCATACCATTCCCAATCCGCATCCACCATGCTTACAAATATCAGCCTTTTGTTTCCCTCATCTTTCCGGCTTTAGGGATTTTGCACTAGCTGTATTATTTCCCTTAAATGTTCTTTCCATGACCCTGATTTTCACCTGAATTGTTACTTATTATTCAGATCTTTGCCAAAGTGTCAGGTTGAAGGCCATCTTCAACACCTAATAGAGAGCAGCTAACTACCCAATTACTTGCACAACATGAATCTTGAAATGACCATGTGATATGGTTTGGATATTTGTCCCCTACAAATCTCATGTACTGTAATCCCCAGTGTTGCAGATGGGACTTCGTGGGAGGTATCTGGATTTTGCGGGTGGATCCCTTATGAATGGCTTAGCGCCATCCACTTGGTGAAGAGCGAGATGAGATCTCGCTTTGGTAGTCCACGAAAGATCTGGTTGTTTAAAAGAACATGGCACTGGCTGGGTGCAGTGGCTCACGCCTGTAATCCCAGCACTTTGGGATGCCGAGGTGGATCACCTGAGGTCAGGAATTCAAGACCAGCCTGACCAACATGGTGAAATCCCATCTCTGCTAAAAATACAAAAATTAGGGTCAGGCGCGGTGGTTCACACCTGTAATCTCAGCACTTTGGGAGGCCAAGGCGGGTGGATCACCTGAGGTCGGGAGTTCAAGACCAGCCTGACCAACATGGTGAAACCCTATCTCTACTAAAAATACAAAATTAGCCGGGTGTGGTGGCACATGCCTATAGTCCCAGCTACTCAGGAGGCTGAAGCAGGAGAATCGCTTGAACCCAAGAGGCAGAGGTTGCAGTGAGCTGAGATCAAGCCATTGCACTCTAGCCTGGACAACAAGAGCGAGAGTCCATCTCAAAAAAAAAAGCTGGGCGTGGTGGCAGGTGTCTGTAATCCCAGCTACTAGGGAGGCAGAGGCAGGAGACTCATTTGAACCTGGGGGGGCAGAAGTTGCAGTGAGCCAAGAATGCGCCATTGCACTCCAGCCTGGGCAACAGAGCAAGACTCCATCTCAATTTAAAAAAAAAAAAAAAGCATGGCATCTCCCCACAACTCTCTCTTTCCCTCTATCACCATGTGATATCGCCTCCTTTCCCTAAGCTTCCTGAGGCCTCACCAGAAACCGATGCGGCACCATGCTTTGTATAAAGTCTGCAGAACTGCAAGCCAATGAAACTTTTCTTTATAAATTTCCCAGCCTCAGGTATTTCTTTATAGCAACACAAGAACAGACTAACATAATCATGCTCAATGAGAGAAGCCAGACACAAAAGGCTACATTTTGAGATCCCATTTTATGAAATGTACAGAATAGGCAAATTCATATACAGAAATATCAGTGGTTGCTGGGAGCAGGGGGCAAGAAATAATGAGAAGCATGGGATATGTTTCTGTTTGTTTGTGTCACCTATGGTTTCTTTCAGCAGTATTTTGTAGTTTTCCTTGTAGAGGTCTTTCAGCTCTTAGGTCTATTCCTAGTTTTGTTTGTTTGTTTTTGCAGCTATTGTAAAAGCAGTTGAGTTCTTGATTTGATTCTCATTTGGTCACTTTTGTTGTATAGTTCAAGCCCATTGTTTCTTTGTTAACTTTCCATCTTGATGACTTGTCTAGTGCTGTCAGTGGAGTATTGAAGTCCTCCACTATTATTGTGCTGCTGTTTTCTAGTAGCAATTGTTTTGTAAATTTGGGAGCTCCAGTGTTAAATGCAAATATATTTAGGATTATGATATTTTCCTGTTGGACCAGTCCTTTTATCATTACATAATGTCCCTCCTTGTCTTTGTTAACTGTTACTGCTTTAAAGTCTGTTTCGTCTGATATAAGGATAGCGACTCCGGATAGCGACTCCTGTTTGCTTTTCATGTCCATTTGCATGGAATATCTTTTTTCACTCCTTTACCTTATGTTTATGTGAGTCCTTATGTGTTAGGTGAGTCTCTTGAAGACAGCAGATACTTGGTTGGTGAATTCTTACCCATTCTGCCACTCTGTATTCTTTGTGGAGCATTTAGGCCATTTACATTCAACGTTAGTATTGAGATGTTAGCTACTATTCTATTCATCGTTCTCGCTGCTGCCTGAATATCTTGGTATTTTTTCCTTGTGTTATTGTTTTATAGGCCCCGTGAGATTTATGCTTTAAGGAGGTTCTATTTTGGTGTACTTTGAAGTTTTGTTTTGTTTCAAGATTTAGAACTGGGCTCACGCCTGTTCATCCCAGCACTTTGGGAGGCTGAGGGGGGCAGATCACCTGAGGTTGGGAGTTCGAGACCAGCCTGACCTACATGGAGAAACCCTGTCTCTACTAAAAATACAAAAAATTAGCCGGGCGTGGTGGCACATGCCTGTAATCCCAGCTACTCGGGAGGCTGAGGCAGGAGAATCACTAGAACCCAGGAGGTGGAGGTTGTGGTGAGCCGGGATCGCACCATTGCACTCCAGCCTGGGCAACGAGAGCGAAACTCTGTCTCCAAAAAAAAAAAAAAAAAAAGATTTAGAACTCCTTTTAGCAGTTCCTGTAGTGCTGGCTTGGTGGTGTCGAATTCTCTCAGCATTTGTTTGTCTGAATAAGACTTTTATCTTTCCTTTATTTATGAAGCTTAGTTTCACTGGATACAAAATTCGTGGCTGGTAATTGTTTTGTTTAAGGAGGCTAAACATAGGACTCCAATCCCTTCTAGCTTGCAGGGTTTCTGCTGAAAAACGTGCTGTTAATCTGACAGGTTTTCCTTTATGCTTTTCCCTAACAGTTCTTAAGGTTCTTTTCTTCATCTTTATTTTAGTTAGCCTGATGACTGTGTGCCTAGGTGATAATCTTTTTGCAATGCATTTCCCAGGAGTTATTTGAGTTTCTCGTATTTGGATGTATAGATCTCTAGCAAGGCCAGGGAAATTTTCCTCAATCATTCCCTCAAATAAGTTTTCCAAATTTTTAGATTTCCCTTCTTCCTCAACAACACCAATTATTCTTAGGCTTGATCGTTTAACATAATCTCAAACTTATTGGAGGCTTTATTCAGTTTTTTTCTTTTTTGTCACACTGGGTTAATTAAAAAGCCTTATCTTTGAGCCCTCAACTTCTTTCTTGTTCAATTCTATTGAAATTTTCCAGTGTATTTTGTATTTAAGTGTGTCTTTCATTTCCTGAAGTTGTGATTGTTGTTTTATTGATTTTATTTCTCTGGAGATTTTTTTGTCCGTATCTTGTTTTTTTTGTTTTTTTGTTTTTTTCTAATGTCAGAGGAAAGATCTGGGGCTCAATAGCTGTTGTTCAGATTCTTTTGTCCCATGGGGTGATCCCCTGACATGGTGCTCTCCCCCTTCCCCTAGGGATGAGGTTCCTGAGAGCTGGACTACAGTGATTGTTGCTGCTCTTCTGCATCTAGCCACCTAGTAGAGCTACTGGGGTCCGGGCTGGTACTGGGGAGTGTCTGCAAAGAGTCCTGTAATGTGATCAGTATCCCGGTCTCTCAGCTGTGGCATCTGCTCCGATGGAGGTAGCAGGGGAATGAAGTGGACCCTGTGAGGGTCCTTGGTAGTTTTGTTTAGTGCACTGGTTTTCTCAAATGCTGGTTGTGCTGGCAGTGAAGTTGTAACATGGACAGACTCAGAACCTCTGGTTAGCTAGGATGTTACAGGCAGTGGAATTTGCTATTATTTTCTCCTTTCTTGGTGCAGAGTTGTTCTTTTATGAGTTGCTGTAATGGCTTCAGTTGGTTGGCCTCCAGTCAGAAGGTGGCGCTTTCAATACAACATCGACTGCAGTAGTACGGGGCGGGGGATACAAGTTTGCCCTAAGGTCACTTGGATAAGTATTCTGATTTATCAGGTGATGGGTGGCACCATAGAGCTCTCAAGATATTATGTGTTTTGTTTTACGCTACCAGGGCGGAAAAAGACCATCAAGTAAGGGCCAGGTTAGGCATATCTGAGACTCTCCTTGGGCGGGGCTTGCTGTGGCCACAGGGCGGAGGGAGGGGGAGGGGGTGGGAGATGGGAGGATGGGGGATGGGGGTGTGATTCTCAGGCCAATAAAATTGTATTCCCTGGGGGATTATGGTTGCCTCTGCTGCTTCAAACAGATCACCAGGGAGTTGGGGGCAAGCTGGCAGTGACAGGCCTCACCGAATTCCTCCACAACCAGCAAGGCCGGTCTCAGTCCCACCATGCCCTGACAACACCGTTATATCCAGGCAGCCTTAGAGCAAGGCTGAGATTTTGCCCCAGGCTACAAAAGCCCCTGCTGAGAAAGCAGGCAAGGATTTCAGGTCTTGCCCCTCCCTGCCTGCCCTAACTTCTGTGCCAGTATCTGCACTTTCGGTTTGCCCACTCCCAAATATTGCCCAGGAAAATTTGCACTCAGTCAAAATTATTACAAAGTTAGGCTGTAAGTTTTCTTCTCCCTGTGGTCCTTCCCCATTTCTAATGGCAGCCTTTCCCAAGAACCCCTGGTAAGATAAAAGTCAGAAATGGCTTCCCTGGGGACTAGAAGTGTCTACAGGGCTCCTTCTTGCTGCTGCCTCGATATTTTTTTTTTTTTTTTTTTTTTTTTTTTGAGACAGAGTCACATTCTGTGGCCCAGGCTGGAGTGCAGCGGCACCATCTCAGCTCACTGCAGCCTCCGCCTCCTTGGTTAAAGCGATTCTCCTGCCTCAGCTGCCTAAGTAGCTGGGATTACAGGCATGTGCCACATGCCCAGCTAATTTCTGTATTTTTAGTAGAGATAGGATTTCGCCACGTTAGCCAGGCTGGTCTCGAACTCCTGACTGCAGATGATCCACCCACCTTGGCCTCCCAAAGTGCTGGGATTACAGCACTTTTTGGCTGGGAGCCACCGCGCCTGGCCTTGCATCAACTTTTATATTTCATTTGGCTCTCTAAATTCGTATCAGCTCCAGGTAAGGTTAAATCCTTCTCCCATGATCTGGATTTTCAGGTTCCCCAGTGAGGATGTGTGTTCAGAGGCAGACTTTCCCCCTCTTCACTTTGGGCACTCACAGCTTTTGGCTGTCTCATGGAATTTGCAGCGACAAGCCGCTTATTTCAAAGGGTCTGTGAATAATTTCGGTTTTACTGTTATGTTCCTGCGGTAGTTCTTGAAGCAAAAGTTCACGATGTGAGTCTCCACACACTGTTTTGTCCATCCGAGTAGAAGCTGCAAGTTAATCCTGCCCGCTTTTGATTTAAAATTATACATCTTACTTGAATTCTAACAGTAGGTTAACTTTTATTTTTGATATTTGAACTATTTACCTAAAAGTACCAATAATAATTCTATAAATTAACAATACTTCCATCACTTTTTTTGGTTTTGGAGACAGAATCTCACTCTGTCACCCAGGCGGGAGTGCAGTGGTGCAATCTCGGTTCAATACAAACTCCACTTCTGGGTTCAAGAGATTCTCCTGCCTCAACCTTCCGAGTAGCTGGGATTACAGGCGTGCACCACTACGCTCAGCTAATTTTTGTATTTTTAGTAGAGACAGGGTTTCACCATGTTGGCCAGGCTGGTCTCGAACTCCTGGCCCCAAGTGACCTGCCTGCCTTGGCCTCCCAATCTGCTGGGATTACAAGCATGAGCCACCAAACCCAGCCACTTCCACCACTTTTTAAATGAAACACTGCTTAACTTTTACAAATCTAGTTCCTATCTTAAGCTAGAGAATCTTTCTCTACCAAGGTACAATCAAGGAACTTGATTTTACAAGGATGAAAAACATTTCATACAAATATGGTAAGAAAAAACAATCTGTTAATACTGAAATTCCAATTGTTATTTCTCAGGAGAGAAACTGAATAGAGTGCTGTGTTTGTTTTTACAATCAATATGTGATTTTTTTTTTTTTTTTGGAGACAGGGTCTCACTCCATCACCCAGGCTGGAATGCAGTGGCTTGATCTCCATGCAACCTCAAGTAATCTTCCCGCCTCAGCCTCCTGAGTAGCTAGGACCACAGGTGTGTACCACTAGGCCCAGCTAATTTTGTATTTTTTGTATACACAGGGTTTTGCCATGTTGTCCAGGCTGGTCAGCTGGTCTCAAACTCTTGAGGTTGAGTGATCCACTCATTTCGGCCTCCCAAAGTGCTGGGATTACAGGCATGAGCCACTGCGCCTGGCCAACAATCAATATGTAATTTTTAAAAATTAAAAAGAGGCCAGGCATGATGATTCATGCCTGTAATCCCGGCACTTTGGAAGACCAAAGCAGGTGGATCACTTGAGGACAGGAGCTGAAGACCAGCCTGGCCAGCATGGTGAAACCCCATCTCTACGAAAAAAAAATACAGGCTGGGCGCAGTGGCTCATGCCTGTAATCCCAGCACTTTGGGAGGCTGAGGCGGGCAGATCACTTGAGGTCAGGAGTTCATGACCAGCTTGGCCAACATGGTGAAACCCTATCTCTACTAAAAATACAAAAATTAGCCAAATGTGGTGGTACGCGCCTGTAATCCCAGCAACTCAGGAGGCTGAGGCAGGAGAATCGCTTGAACCTGGGAGGCGGAGGTTGCAGTGAGGCGAGATGGTGCCACTGCACTCCAGCCTGGGTGACAGAGCAAGACTCTGTCTCAAAAAACAACAACAACAACAACAAATTAGCTGGGCATGGTGGTGGTGCATGCCTGTAATCCCAGCTACTCGGGAGGCTGAGGCTGGAGAATTGCTTGAACCCTGGCAGTGGAGGTTGCAGTGAGCCGAGATCACACCACTGCATTCCAGCCTGGGCAATGGAGCAAGACTCCATTTCAAAAATAAACAAATAAATACTAAAAAGTAAAAAGATCAAGAAAAAGGAAGTATACAGTCACAGAAGAAAAACTGGTACATCTCGAGCAAAAATCTAAAAATCCAAAATCTGAAATGCTACAAAATCCAAAACTTTCTGAGCAAAGATTTCACACTCAAAGGAAGTACTCAATGGAACATTTTGGATTTTCAGATTTGGGATGCTCAACCAGTATATAACGCAAATATACAAAACCTGAAAAAAATCCAAAATCCCAAACACTTCTGGTCCCAAGCATTTTAGATAAGCGATATTGAACCTGTAAGTACATTTTCCATCTTCCCTGAAGGCAGTATGCATGGGATTACTTATACCACAAGCTGGATGGGTGCTTTTTTCCAAGACAAATGAATGAAGCCTACTATAAGGAATTCTTGTCAAGAAAGACTCCTGCTCTGAATCAGTACACATAAGCAGTTTAGGAAGAACTCTTCTATTTTCGTTTCTCAAATGGCCATCCTCCTGGCAATGTATCAAGAACTCTGAAAAAATATATAATTGAGGCTACAAGTTAATTCACCTCAACTGAGAGAATAGTCTTATCAAATTCTTCAATATTTTATCTCATTCTCAGGTCAGACCTAGTTCCCCAGCTCAAGCTTGTTGTCACTGTGAAAATGTGACTATTTTCAAACTGACATTAGCTGAGTTAATTTCAGTATCTAAGTGAAACATGACTACAGGTGGCACGGCATCTGTATTCCCAGCTACTTGGGAAGGCTGAGGTGGGAGAATCCCTTGAAGGTGGGGGCAGAGGTCGCAGTGAGCAGAAATTGCGCCACTGCACCCCAGCCTGGGTAACAAAGTGCGACCCTGTCACAAACAAACAAACAAAAAACTCGCACAGAATTCTGAACCTGACACAGGGTAGGGATGACTTGGCAAGGAGCCTGGAATAACAAATAGTCATGAATCAGAATAAAGGCCTGGGGGCAAGAAAAAAAACTACCGAGAAGGACTGGTGCCAATGGTTCAGTTCCACTGTGACTCTCTGAGGCCTTCTCCACTTGCAGATATGTTTCTCCAAGCATGTCACAGTTGAATGGGTGAAGTTAAAATAGGAATAGGTTTCTTCAAACAGCAGAGTACAGACTTGAGCAAGGCAGCTTGGGATGGAATCCCAGTGTACTGCTGTGTGATCTTGGGTAAATATTTAATCTGTGCCTCAGATTCCTCACTGATAAAACTGGAATAAAGCAGTCCCTACTTCAAAGGGTGTTGTGACTACCTGGTTAAAAGGACAACCTTCGGCCGGGCACGGTGGCTCACGCCTGTAATCCTAGCACTTTGGGAGGCCGAGGCGGGTGGGTCACGAGGTCAGGAGATCGAGACCATCCTGGCTAACACAGTGAAACCCCCTCTCTACTACAAATACAAAAAATTAGCCAGGCGTGGTGACAGGCACCTGTAGTCCCAGCTACTAGGGAGGCTGAGGCAGGAGAATGGAGTGAACCCAGGAGGCAGAGCTTGCAGTGAACTGAGATCGCGCCACTGCACTCCAGCCTGGGCAACAGAGCAAGACTCTGTCTCCAAAAAAAAAAAAAAAGAGGACAACCTTCTCCCAGTACTTCTATGCCCCCTTCCCTGCTTTCTTATTCTTCACAACACAAATAATCAGTTAACAATATCTTTATTGTCTTGCCTTTCCCCACTCACAGAAAGCAAGCTGCATAAGAGCAAAGACTTCTGTTTTCTTCAATGCAGTATCCCCAGTATCTAGAACATTGCTCTGTATGTAGTAGCTACTCAAATATAAACGTTTGCCACCTAGAAATTATGGAATATGGCCCTGTGAACGAATGTAAAAATAATGCTGGAGGGCTTGTGCAAATTGCTGTGCCCAATATAAATTAATGAGAATTTGTAACTCACAGGATTTAATAATTAACATCAGAGCTGGAATCAGTTTCTTCCAGCACTATAAACTATAAACAGATACATATCAGGAGAGAAACTTTAAGCTGGAGAACAACAGATCAAGCCAAAAAATTGGGGATTGGACACCACCTCCAAGGCTGTAGAGAGGATGTCCAACAAATAAATTGGCCCTCATACTCCTTGCCTGAACTGTGGTTCCATCCCCAGTCACACATGGATTAGTTAAAAGTGAGAAAACTTATAAGAAAAATCATGTAAGAAAAATCATCTTTTCTTCCCCAATCTGAGAAATACACCATGCCTGAAAGATAGGCAAAGACAACAAGCAAAGAATCAACACGTTTTGACAATGTGCTCAGAATACCTAAGCAAATATTTTATATAACTTGCATTCGATACAGAAGATCTGGTCTACCCCTAGCACTGTGGGTTACCCCTGAACAAGTAATTTCTCCCATGGTGGTCACAGCTCCCAAGTTTATTTTTTTTTAAAGCAGGTTGGGGCCAGGCATGGTGGCTCACGCCTGTAATACCAGCACTTTGGGAGGCTGAGGTGGGAGGATCACTTGAGGTCAGGAGTTTGAGACCAGCCTGACCAACATGGAGAAACCTCGTCTCTACTAAAAATACAAAATTAGCCGGGCGTGGTAGCGGATGCCTGTAATCCCAGCTACTCGGGAGGCTGAGGCAGGAGAATCACTTGAACCCGGGAGGCGGAGGTTGCAGTGAGCCAAGATCACACCATTGCACTCCAGCCTGGGCAGTAAGAGCGAAACTCTGTCTGAAAAATAAAAATAAATAAATAAAATAAAAATAAAAAGCAGGTTGGCGTAAACGTGCTCTATGATCCCTTTAATTCTGAGTTAGACTATGAAGAAGTGGGGAAGGGAGAGAGAGTGAGTGTGCAGAGGGCAACAGGTTCATTTTAGTTTTTGCAAAACCAATACCCACGTGTCATAGAAAGACGTCAGGGGGCTGTTGTATATGTAGCGATCTGATTTTTAAATATGATATCCACCCACTCTCCTCCCCAGAATAACACCTGATGATCCTGTTGAAAGCTATAATCTGGCCAGGCATGGTGGCTCACACCTGTAATCCAAACACTTTGGGAGGCTGAGTTGGGTGGATCACTTGAGGCCAGGAGTTCGAGACTAGCCTGGTCAACATGGTGAAGTCCCATTTCTACTAAAAATACAAAAATTAGCCAGGCACGGTGATGAACACCTGCAGTCCCAGCTACTTGGGAGGCTGAGGCACAACAATCACTTGAACCAGGAGGCAGACACTACAGTGAGCTTAGATCTTGCCACTGCACTCCAGCCTGGGCAACAGAGGGAGACTCTATCTCAAAATAATAAACAAACAAACAAACAAACATAAAAATGCAAAAAATTAGCTGGCCGTGGTGGCACACGCCTGTAATCCCAGCTACTCAGGAGGCTGAGAATCTTTTGAACCTGGGAGGCAGAGGTTGCAGTGAGCCAAGACTGTACCACTGCACTCCAGCCTGAGCAACGAAGGGAGACTCAGTCTACCCACCAAAAAACAAAAAAAAAAAAACAGGAGAGAAAGAAAGGCTGTAATCTGTAACTTTTCTTTTATCCACTTCACTTATTGTAAAATGCTATACTAGAATCTATCTGTTTTCTATCTGGCTGTATTCCCTAAATGCCTAGACACATAGCTACCTATCGATAAGTACTACTTGCTGACTGAATGAATTGAATAAATTCTAAATACATAGTCAAGAGACCCTAATCCATTTTCTCCATTTCCATTTAGGAAACAATCAATATATACATGGTAGGCAGGAAGAAAGGAGAGTCGTTTCAGACAGTTCTTTACCCTGCTGATCTCCTGTTCCTTAATAATATTCCTTAAACTTCTCTTCCCTTTTTTCCCCCATATTTCCAGAAAAATCTCCTGTCTCAAAAGCACAAAATCAGCTATAGAAAAGATTAATAAATTAGAAAACAAAAACATTTTAAGGGGTGACAGGAAGTACCTGGCAAAGGTAGACAAAAAGCTTATCTTCAGAATCTAAGGTCTGGAGACAACCCGGAGGGCAGTCTGGCTTCTATACCATAAATGAACAAATGGATACTAGCATAACACACTTAGCAGAAGAAAAAAAATTTAACCCAAAAGCACCTTCATAATTATGAAGCACAATCACTTGTAACATTAGTAACCTAAAATGATTTTGCCTTCTCCCTCTATCATCACTCTTAATTTCAAATGCTCATTTCTAAAATCTGTAGTATACAAAATTTTCTGTAGCCAACTATATATTCTAGAAGTCTCTTTCAGTGGCTTGCCTTTGAAAGAAGTTAAAAATGAAACTCATGTCTCTTGATTGGTACAATAATAAAGGAGACTCTGGAATGCTATAAGCTACCACTCTCTGTAAAGAGAGTGAAATCAGTCTGAACAAAGCTCACAAAGACAGAGACCAACAAACAGAACAAAGAAACCATTTGGAAAATCCCAATTATCAACCAACTTCTTGATCCAGCTCCAACACAATGAGAGAGGAGGATCTTGATCAAAACAGCAGAGAAAAAGACTGCTTAGATTGGTCTGCACTGGAAACTACCAAGGGAGTGATAGATTCCTGCATATAACACGCAGAAAATGGGAGGGAAGCCACTAGAAATTGATGGTGAAAAAGACTAAATTTAAGTCCATCCAGATCGGCAGCCAGATGTTCCAAACGCCCAGCTCACAGAAATATTTACTGCAAGGGCTGGGCCGTCAAGCGTACTGATGAGTATTGAAAAGCCCCGGCCGGGCGCGGTGGCTCACGCCTGTAATCCCAGCACTTTGGGAGGCCGAGGCGGGCGGATCACGAGGTCAGGAAATCGAGACCATCCTGGCTAACACGGTGAAACCCCGTCTCTACTAAAAATACAAAAAATTAGCCGGGCGTGGTGGCGGGCGCCTGTAGTCCCAGCTACTCGGGAGGCTGAGGCAGGAGAATGGCGTGAACCCGGGAGACGGAGCTTGCAGTGAGCCGAGATTGCGCCACTGCACTCCAGCCTGGGCGACAGAGCGAGACTCCGTCTCAAAAAAAAAAAAAAAAAAAAAAAAAGAAAAGCCCCCCCTAGAGACCAGGTTTCTTTAGAGATAAAAAGAACAAAAGCAAAAAACACAATGAAACCACCACCAATAGTTTGGACATAATTTAAAATATATACATATCAGGCCCAAAGTAGACTTCTTGTGTATGAACCAGATCGATTCAACTGACAATCCCCAATATTTAAACTGGCCTTTGTAAACAGAGCCAAAAAAATTTTTTGAAGGTAAAGTATAAGAAGAAAACATAATTCAATGCAATTAATGCCAAAAGTGAACCAAAATGTAATGTCCAGGATATTTCCAACATGAGTTGCTGAGATAGCTATCAACCTCTGAAACACATGTTCGTATATTAAGATAATCCATTCAGGCTTTGCAGAAGAGGAAGCACCACGATGGGGACAGAGGCATAGGTAGGAAAGTGGAGTGTTGATCAAAAGTCCAACCCACCTCGGGTTGAGGAATTTGCCCTAGGTTTTCTGGAGCAGTCAATAATTTGACACACAAACCAGCAAGGCCCTCAGCATCTCAACAATGTGTCCCCACAAATCACACTCTTCTTGCCCTAGGCCCAGAGTTACGCAAGAGAATCCAGCAACGTAAGGTTGGCATGCATTTTCCCCATGGCAGACATCAACACGAACCTCACCTTGTCACTGTCATCATGACAAATGTGGTCGTGATGGATGGACTGGCACTGAAAAGAAGCACCAACACTACCTACAAGAAAAAGGGAGGAAAGGTTAAGATGCAGTAATTCCTTACATTTAAACTGCTTTACCAATTAAAAGTGCTTTTACATCCATGATCCCATCTAATAAAATACTCATATAAGTAGACACTGTGGGGATTATTATTCATGCATTTTAACAGAGGAAAACAAAACACAGAGAGGCTGACCCACACAAAGGACCAGTTAGGGAGTGGCAGGTCTAAAACTACAACTCCATTATTCAAACTGCTAATTCCCCCTCTTTCTACTAGACCGAGTAGTCTGCTTTCAAAGTAAGATTACCTGCAGAAACACAAGCCTTCAATAAGGCAAACTCTTATTTATGAGGAAAAATATTACATTCCTTTTCAGACTACACATGCTTTGAGAAAAAACTGGTCCTATAAATTCTAAACATATAAGAAACAATCTAATCTACAATCACATAACACTTTAAATGTTTTTATTATTTTAAATGTATACCAAATATACCCATTTGTAAATTTTAAAAACTACCTTCCAATAACAACTGCTCTTTAATAATAGTTACATTTCTAGCCAATAAAAACACAAACTATTCAACAAGTGATTGGAACAACAGATTACCCATTTTTTTTAAAAAAAGTTTTGGTTTGTACTTCATACCATAAACAAAATGGTGAGTCAAAGATCTATGTAATGTAAAAAATGAGGCCAGTTTTAGACAAAAATGTTACATTTTTAAAATAATCTTAGAGGCCAGGTGCAGTGGCTTAGGCCTGTAATCCCAGCACTTTGGGAGGCCAGGGCGGGTGGATCACCCGAGGTTAGGAATTTGAGACCAAGCTGGCCAACATGGTGAAACCCTGTCTCTACTAAAAATACAAAAATTAGCCACGCGTGGTGGCGCACCCCTGTAATCCCAGCTAATAGGGAGGCTGAGGAAGGAGAATCACTTAAACCCGGGAAACAAGAGGTTGCAGTGAGCCAACCAAGATCATGCCACTGCACTCCAGCCTGCATGAGTGAGACCCTGTTTCAAAAAAAAATGAAAATGAAAATGAAAATAATCTTGGAATAAGAAAAACCTTCTGAAAGAAGATATTAAACATTAAGTCATAAATAAAAAGCACACGACTGTGGACCAAAGGCTAACAAAACCCCTCCTGAGTAGCTGGGATCACAGGCACACGCCACCACGCCCAGTTAATTTTTGTATTTTTAGTAGAGACGGGGTTTCGCCATGTTGGTCAGGCTGGTCTTGAACTCCTGACCTCATGATCTGCCTGCCTCTGCCTCCCAAAGTGCTAGGATTGCAGGCGTGAGCCACCCACCTGGCCTCAGACAGTACATTTTAAGATATTATTAATGTTGGGAAGATGTTAAGTAACATGAGGCTGAAGACTGTAAGTGAGGATCACCTGCTTATTTACTATTACAGTAAGAGCTTACTGATACTTCCAGATATGTAGAGCAGAAAATTCTCTTTCAGAATCGGATTTGTTTTGTTTTGTCTTGTTTTAAACAAAATTAGACACAATTCACATACTACACAATTATCTATTATTTAAAGTATACAATTCAATTTTTTTTTTTTAGTATATTCACAAAGTTGTACAACCATCATCACAATTTTAGGACATTTTCACCACCCTAAAAAGAAACCTCAAGCCCATTTATCTCTTCCCTGAGCCACTGACAACCACCACTCCAACTTCTGTGTATTTGCCAATTCTGGACATTTCATATAAACAGAATCATAAAACATGTGGTCTTTGTAATCAGGTTCATTCACCTACCATAATGTTTGCAAGGTTCATCCACACTGAACCGCGTACCAATCCATTCCTTTCTATGGCTAAATAATATTCCAGTATATGGATATACCACATTTTGTTTCACTCTGGAAATATTAAGACTAATGCTGTTTTGACATCCATTTATAAGTTTTTGTGTGAACGTTTATTTTCATTTCTCTTGTTGGGTCACTTGATCTCTCTATTCAACCTTTTGAGGAACTGCCAAACTGTTTTCCAAACTGACGGCATCGTTTATAATTCCACCAGCAATATATTACAGTTCCTCTGGCATTTTTTGAGTAGAATGACTTTGGAGTCAGACTTCAATACAATTCAGGAATTTACAGACTATGTGAACTTAGGTAAGTCACTTAACAAATCATATGCCTCCCTCATCTGTAAAATTAGAATATTATTATCTACTTATATGTAGGTAATCTACAGAGCTGTTCTGAGAGATATTAAAGTTAGATGTATGAAAAAGCTCATAGCACAGTGCCTGGCACACAGCAATTCAAGAAATGGTACTACAATTAACACTTCTATTCACATCAAGGCTGTGATTTACCTGTGAGACACTGCCTAAGTCCTCAATTTTTTTTGCTAGAGCTGTTTCATTGCCCTCATTTTTTGAGGAGGAAGGGGAAGAGATAACATGTCTGTCTCTCCAGCCACATAATAGGCTCCCTAATTTATCTTTTCATCTTCCAGCATGCAGCACATTTCCTGACTCATGGCAAGTACTAAGTAATTGCAAAAGCAAAGCATGAGAGAAAAGAAATAAAAGAAAGAGTTTTTAAAAGATAAAAAGGAAAAGGGGAAGAAAGGAAATGAAGCCTTCCTGATTTCTCCCTCCCTTTCCTAGTCTACACTTCCATCAGTCCCTCCACCTACAGACCCCAATGAGATTTAATGACCTCTTCCTCCTTTCTCCTGTACAAGCTGCTTAGCCCTTGTTATCAAAATTCCTATGTTGAAACCTAACCCCAAATGTAAGGGTATTCGGAGGTGGGGTGTTTGGAAGGTGATTGGGTTATGAAGGCAGAGAGCTCATGAATAGGATCAGTATCCTTATAAATTCAATCCCAAAGAATCCCTCACCCTTTTGCCTTGTGAGGACACAGCAAAAAGGCACTCTCTATGTACCAGGAAGCAGGCCCTCGCCATAATGAATCTGGGTTCCTTGATCTTGAATTTCCCAGCCTCTATCTATCTATCTATCTATCTATCTATCTATCTATCTATCTATCTACCTACCTATCTATTAATTTATTTGAGATGAGTTTCACTCTTGTTGCCCACACTGGAGGGTAGTGGTGCGATCTTGGCTCACTGCAACCTCCACCTCCCGGGTTCAAGCGATTATCCTGTCTCAGCCTCCCGAGTAGCTGGGATTACAAGTATGTACCACCATGCCTGGCTAATTTTGTATTTTTAGTAGAGACAGGGTATCTCCATGTTGGTCAGGCTGGTCTCAAACTCCCGACCTCAGGTGATCCGCTCACATTGGCCTCCCAAAGTACTGAGATTACAGGCGTTAGCCACTGCACCCAGACAAATTTCTCAGCTCCTAAAACTGTGAGAAATAAATTTCTGTTGTTTATAAGCCACCTAGACTATGGTATTTGTTACAGCAGCCTGAAGAGACTAAGGCAGGCCTTATACTACAATAAAAAAATGAGGCCAGGCGCGGTGGCTCATGCCTGTAATCCCAGCACTTTGGGAGGCGGAGGCAGGCGGATCACAAGGTCAGGAGATGGAGACCATCCTGGCTAACACGGTGAAAGCCTGTCTCTACTAAAAATACAAAAAATTAGCTGGGCATGGTGGCACGCACCTGTAATCCCAGCTACTCAGGATGCTGAGGCAGAACTACTTGAACCCGGGAGGTGGAGGTTGCAGTGGGATGAGATCACGCCACTGCACTCCAGCCTGGGCAACAGAGCAAGACCCTGTCTCAAAAAAAAAAAAGGATAAAACTGTAGTACAACTATTGTTTACATATATATATATATATATATACACGTATAAATTCAATTTCCCCTGCTGGACCACGACCACATGTTTTTAGAGTCAGAGACTGAGCCTTGGTCATCTTTATGATCTCCGTAACATACATCAAGTTTTGTTCAAAGAAGGCCATACTTAAAAAGTTTACTTAATACATAAAGACTTTGAGTAACAGCATTATTCTGACCTTAGGCCTAACAAAGAAACCAACCAAGTGAAGCAAGGGGCATATGACAACTGAATAAATGTAACAAGACAAAGCTGGGGGAAGTGACCTCTCTTCTTACATTCAGGGCTATATTTCTTGAAAGGTCCATTCTAAAGACAGCCCTGAGCATTTACTGAGTATCTACTCAGTATGTACCAGACATATGTACACAAGACAAAGCAAAAAGCAAGCAAGGCCCCTAGCTCCATGGAGCTTACAGCCCAGTAGAGAGCATTTGCCTGCCATCCTAAAGACTCTAATCTCACTCCCACTCCAGAAATTTCATTTCTGCAATTGCTTAATTCATTAAGTAAGTACTTATCAAGCCCTCGCTACATGTCAAGTCTACCCTAGACACTGGGAACATAGGAATAAATAACACAAGGTCCCTGCTCTTCATGAATTTTACTTTAACCAATTCTATAAAGATGCATTTCTTTGCCAATAATTCTGTGAAATACCCGTATGCTCTAACTTTTAAATAAATTTTAATAGTAACATGTGTACATAAGCTTAAAAAGTAAAAAAAGAATGAAATGGATTATGATGAAAAAAGAATCCCATTGCCTTCTTCTCTATCCCTAGTCTCCCTTCCCAGAGGCAAATATTCCCCAAATCTTACAGGCATTCCCTCCAGTATTGAAGACAATGGTCCTCTCGTATCTGTGGGAGCTTGGTCCCAGGACCCCCAGTGGATACCAAACTCTGCAGATGCTCAAGCCCTTTATATAAAATGGCTTAGTATTTGCATAAAACCTATGTAAATCCTCTCATATACTTTAAATCATCTCTAGACTACTTGTAATACCTAATACAATGTAATGCTATATAAGACACAGTGGCTCACGCCTGTAATCCCAGCACTTTGGGAGGCTGAGGTGGGAGGATCATGAAGTCAGGAGTTTGAGACCAGCCAGTTTGAGACCAGCCTGGCCAACAAGATGAAACCCTGCCTTTATTAAAAATACAAAAATTAGCCACGCATGGTGGCGGGCACCTGTAATCCCAGCTACTCGGGAGGCTGAGGCAGGAGAATTGTTTGTACCCAGGAGTCAGAGGTTGTAGTGAGCTGAGATCACGCCACTGCACTCCAGCCTGGGCAACAGAGCAAGATTCCGTCTCAAGAAAAAATAAATTAATTAATTAATTAACAAACAGTAATTGTACTACAGTTTTACTCATTTTTTTAACTGTAGTATTGTTGTTTTTATTGTTTATTTTTCCTGATATTTTCCATGCAGTTGGCTAAACCCAAGGATGTGGAACCTACAGATATAGAGGGCCAACTATAATATACTTTATATGACTATTTCTTGGTTATTAATTTTATAAATTGTTTATTGAATTTCTAGCATACTATCATCAGATAACTAAACTATTCCACCCCTCCTACCCTACTCTCACCCAGTCCTCCAACATAATTATGTAGTATTTTGTGTTTTTATCAAGAGGATGGTCACTGAAATTCCAGAAATAGATAAGACCTCCTAAAGAGAAGGTGTAATCAGAGAAAAGCAGAAGGCCAAGAATTATTATTATTATTATTAATTTTGAGACAGAGTTTCGCTCTTGTTGCCCAGGCTGGAGTGCAATGGCGCGATCTCAGCTCACTACAACCTCCTCCTCCCGGGTTCAAGCGATTCTCCTGCCTCAGACTCCGGAGTAGCTGGAATTACAGGCATGCGCCACCACGCCTGGCTAATTTTTTGTATTTAGTAGAGACGGGTTTTGCCATGTTCGTCAGGCTGGTCTTGAACTCCTGACCTCAGGTGATGCACCCACCTCAGCCTCCCAAAGTGCTGGGATTACAGGCAAGAGCTACTGTGCCTGGCCTTAATATTTTTTAAATACTGAAATGTATTGGAGGAAAGAGGTAGTTAATGAAGGAGATAAAAGAAGAGAAAGAGCCAGAGGAAAGAAAGAATATGTGTGGAGATATAAGAGGACCAAGAAGGAAATGTCTGATTTGATTGATTTTCTTGTGTGTTAATGAGAGGCTAGTAGTGAAAGGACTGGTTCTACTTTGTATTTTTCCATTTGAATGGAAATATGAGGACTTCGGGCGGCGGGGGTGCGGTTTCCAATTTCCAGAGCATCTCCTTATTCTTCTTGAGGAGAGATAAAGAGAATTCAGACATTCCGAATCCAAACAAAAATCTGGCCCTAATGAGGATTAAAAAAAAAAAAATCAACATGGCTTTTCTATACTCTCACAACATTTCTGGCACACAATTTATGAGTTGTCCACACCAAGCAATCCTTCAGTTCTCCACGGACATCACTTGAACATCCTATAATTCTAACACTAACTACCCATAGTTAATGTAGACCCCAAAGGTAAAGGGCTCAGTCCCACAAGACTGCCTCCCACTTCAGATGCCAATTGCAAGTAGTGGGTCCTCAGGCTAACCACAACTTTTGTCAGTTTGGCTACAAATCAGAGGTTCCCAACACCCCTTCTTCTGATTCAATAATTTGCTACAATGGCTCATAAAACTCAAGGAAACATCTATAATCATGCATTGCTTAATGATGAGAATACATTCTGAGAAATGCATGGTTAGGTAACTGAATCGTTGTGCGAACATCATACCAGAGAGTCAGGCTATATGGTATACTTAGACAACAGGGCATAACCTACTGCCCCTAGAGCACAAACCTGTATAGCACGTTACTGTACTGAATACTGTAGGCAACTGTAACACAATGGTATTTGCGTATCAAAACACATCTAAACATAGAAAAGGTACAGTAAAAATATAGTATTATAATCTCAGGGGACCAGTCATATACATAGTCCCTCTTTGACAAAAACACATTATGTGGCACAAGACTGCACTTTTGTTTACTGGTTTACTATAAAGGTTAAAGATGAACAGCTAATGAAAGAGGCACATGGGGTTAAGATATGGAGGAAAGGGGAATGGGCAGAGCTTCCATGCCCTTTTTAGGCACACCATCCTCCCAGCACCTCAATGTCTTCACCAACCCAGAAGCTCTCCAAACTCTATTATTTAGGGTTCCTATGGAGATTCCCTTAGGTAGGCATGACTGATAAAAATCATTGGCCATTGGTAACTGAACTCAATCTTCAGCCCCTCTCCTCTCTCTGGAGGGATGCTGGGTTGAAAGTTCCAACACTCAAATTGCATGACTGGTTCCTTTGGCAACCACCAGCCCTCATCTAGAAGCTATCAAGGGGCCCACCAAGACTCACTTCGTTAGCAGAAACTCAGGTATAGCTGAAAGGAGCTAATTACAAATTAAGACGCTTCTCTCACCCCAATCACTCAGGAAATTCCTAGGGTTTTAGGACCTCTGTGCCAGGAATTAGGGATGAAGAACAAATATGTATTTTTTATTATATCACATTATCACAGTGGTCCACTCCTTGAGTTGTGAGATAAATAATCTAATTCCCTTCGTATTCTCCCATGGCTTAATATTAATCTGGGTATTAAGTTTTTTTTGTTTTTTTTTTGAGACAGAGTCTCACTCTATTGCACAGGCTGGAGTGCAATGGCACGATCTCGTCTTACTGCAACCTCTGCCTCCCAGGTTCAAGTAAATCTCCTGCCTCAGCCTCCCAAGTAGCTGGGATTACAGGGGTGTGCCATTATGCCTGGCTAATTTTTGTATTTTTAGTGGAAACGGGGTTTCACTGTGTTGGCCAGGCTGGTCTGGAACACCAGACCTCGTGATCCACCTCCTTTGGCATCCCAAAGTGCTGGGATTACAGGCGTTAAGCCACCGCGCCTAGCTAAATATTAACTTTCTTATCCACTCATAACTTCCCATTTTACAAGGGTCAATGGTAAAATTCAAAGAAATACTATTGGCCAGGCGCAGTGGCTCATGCCTGTAATCCCAGCGCTTTGGGAGGCAGAGGCGGGCGGGCGGATCACAAGGTCAAGAGATTGAGACCATCCTGGCCAACATGGTGAAACCCCGTCTCTACTAAAAATACAAAAATTAGCTGGGCGTGGTGGTGGGCACCTGCAGTCCCACCTACTCGGGAGGCTGAGGCAGGAGAATCACTTGAACCCAGGAGGCGGAGGCTGCAGTGAGCCGAGATCCAGCCTGGTGACACAGTGAGACTCAAAAAACAAACAACAACAAAAACAAAACAAAAAAACAAAGAAATACTATTTCAGCCATTCAGGAGAAAATGCCAGTTACATATATGGTAAGCATGAGTCATCACTATTAATTACTATTTATTATAACTATTATTTTCACTATTACCATTTATGATAACTAAACATAACACACTTATTTTACAATTTAGTACCTATAGGAATTCAAATCTCTAGGCTAAGAAACCTGAAATCTCTAGTATCTTCCCTAACTATTAAATAAGATGAGAAGGTAAATTGCTGCTGTGATTTCTAGTATAGAGAAAAGATTGATATTCACAGTGGAGATAAGAGAGAAGAATGATAGCTACCAGAGGCTGGGGAGGGTAGAGGAGGGGCTGGGTGGGGGAAGTAAGGATGGTTAATGGGTACAAAAAAAAAAAGAGTAAGATCTAGTATCTGACAGCACAACAGGGTGACTATAGTCAACATAAGTTTAATTATACATTCTAAAATAACTAAAAACAGTATAACTGGATTGTAACACAAAGGATAAATGCTTGAGGTGATGGATACCCCCCCCTTACCCTAATGTGATTATTAGGCATTGTATGCCTGTATCAAAATATCTCATGTACCCCCATAAATATATACACCTACTAGGTACCCACAAAAATTAAAATTTAAAAATTTTTAAAAAAGAAAACATAGGGCCAGGCACAGTGCTCATGCCTATAATCCCAGCACTTTGGGAAGCCAAGACGGGCAGATCACTTGAGGTCAGGAGTTCGAGATCAGGCATCGTGGTGGACACCTGTAATCCTAGCTACTCCAGAGGCTGAGGCGGGAGAACTGGTTGAACCTGGGAGGCGGAAGTTGTAGTAAGCTGAGACTGTGCCACTACACTCCAGCTTGGGAAACAGAGTGAGACTTCGCCTCAAAAAAAAAAAAAAAAAGAAAGAAAATATAAATGACTTTGGACATATACAAATGTTAAACTTTTCTCAAAAGAAAAATTAAAGTAAAAATGACACCTTGTCACCCACCAAATCAATAAAAAGCAAGAAGTTTGATAACACACTATATTGGAGAAGGTATAAAAAAACAGGCTCTCAAACATTGCTAGTAGTAGATATATAAAGTAGTACATCTTCTAAAACGAGTAATTTGGCAGTTAACTGACTCAGTGAAAAATACTTATAACTTTTAGGCCAGGCGCGGTGGCTCATGCCTGTAATTCCAGACTTAGGGAGGCCAAGGCAGGTGGATCACAAGGTAAGGAGATGGAGACCATCCTAGCCAACATGGTGAAACCCCATCTCTACTAAAAATACAAAAATTAGCTGGGTGTGGTGGCACGCGCCCATAATCCCAGCTACTTGGGAGACTGAGGCAGGAGAATGGCTTGAACCTGGGAGGCGGAGATTACAGTGAGCTGAGATCGTGCCACTGCACTCCAGCTTGCCGACAGAGCGAGACTCTGCCTGAGAAAGGGGAAGGGAGGGGAGGGGAGAGGGGAGGGGGGGAAGGGATAGGGGAGAAGGGGAGGGGAGAGGAGCAGGAGGGGGAGGGGGATGGGGGAAGGAGGAGGGGGAGGGCAGGGGAGGAGGATGGGGAGGGCACGGGAGGAGGAGGGGAAGGACTTTTATTTTTTGAGATGGAGTTTTGCTCTTGTTGCCCAGGCTGGAGTGCAGTGGCACCATCTTGGCTCACCACAACCTCCGCCTCCCGGGTTCAAGCGATTTCTCCTGCCTTAACCTCCCAGGTAGCTGGGATTACACGCATGCGCCACCAGGCATGCCTGGCTAATTTTGTATTTTTAGTAAAGATGGGGTTTTTCCATGTTGGTCAGGCTGGTCTCGAACTCCTGACCTCAGGTGATCTGCCCATCTCAGCCTCCCAAAGTGCTGGGATTACAGGCATGAGCCACCGTGCCCAGCCTACATGTAACTTTTAAACCAGATATTCCAATCCTAAAAGTACATCTCACAAACATACTTGGCCCTCAAACTGATGTGTGTACAAATTATGCATCACGGTTTATTGCATGCCTCTCAAGATTAGAACTGGCTCCATGAGGGCAGGAAATTCCCTTGCCTTATACATTATATCCCAAGTGGAAAGAATAGTGCCTGGCACATAGCAGGTGATCAATATTTGCTCAACAGAATGAGTAAAATCAATTATTTTAAAGGCTTAAATGCCCACCAATAAGAGAATACTCTGCAACTATAAGTGGAGGGTGGGTGGGAAGAGGAAGCTCTTTATGTACTGATAAAGAAAAAGCTCCACTATATACTGTCACAGAAACAAAGCAATGTGTGGAACAGCACAGTGGGCCACCACTGTGGAAAAAAGTGGGGACTGGCGGAGGTACAGATGTATAGAAACTGATCACACTGTCTCTATAAGTCTAGGGAGAACAACGAAGCAGGACAGGCATCAAAGAAAGCCTTTTCACTGTATGCTTTTTCCTATTTTTAAATTTTTGAACCATGCGAATATATTACCTATTTAAAAAATAAACTTTAGAAAAGAGTGGTCTTACTCTAAATTACAGTGGTTATAATATGAAGCAGATTGTTAAAGATACTTGAGGTTGCCAAGTTGAAATGCAAGGCAAACACGAGAGTAGTAATTTTTAAATGAGATGTGACCTATACCTAAGAATTATTTGTATTCCAAAACAAAAAGTAAAAATTAAGTAGAAATTTACTCTAATAATTTATATTATTCTGTGAAGTCAATATAGTTGTTTGAATAACAGGCATCATTTAGAGGGAGAAACTGAATTTGAAAAAACAATAGTTAATGATCAGTACTGGTTCTTAAATGTTCAAAGACACTGAACGTGCCTTGGCCTTAGTGAATGGAGGTTTTTTTTTTTTTTTGAGATGGAGTCTCGCTCTGTCGCCCAGGCTGGAGTGGCTGGAGTGCAGTGGCGCGATCTCGGCTCCCTGCAAGCTCCGCCTCCCGGGTTCACGTCATTCTCCTGCCTCAGCCTCCCGAGTAGCTGGGACCACTGGTGCCTGCCACGACGCCCGGCTAATTTTTCGTATTTTTCATAGAGACAGGGTTTCACGGTGTTAGCCAGGATGGTCTCGATATCCTGACCTCGTGATCCGCCCGCCTCAGCCTCCCAAAGTGCTGGGATTACAGGCGTGAGCCACCGCGCCCGGACTCTGAATGGAGTTTTTATACACCACAAACCTAATCCAGTTCTTTGCAACTCTTTTTGTATCCATGAGAACCTATAGATTTTTACTTCCTAAAAAAGCACTTGTTTCAAAATGGCAAAACAATTCATTTAAATGTTAAGCTTCCTATATGAGGCTACAGGCACTTAATATTAAGGATAGACTCTGCGTGTATATTCACAGTTGTGTAAACAAGTTTATAGATAAATCTTTCATTCAAATTAGGCTTTTATCAAAATTAAGTTGTAAAAGGATGTTTTGGTAAGGGAGATGCCAAGAATGTAAAGAGTGGGTAGAAAAGTAAAATACTGAGAAAGTACATTAAAAAATATCTAGGGAAGTCAAATGATCTCAATGGGAAAGCTGACATTAAACAGTGATAATCCAAACAAGAAGAGACCTCAATTCAGTTTAGAAAGAGCTTAGCCATTCAGCTCCTTTTCTGAAAGATAACTGCCTATTATTAAAATAGTAATGACAGACTCATATAGCATAGTCTAGATTATCATATTAGATTCATTTATACCAATTTTCCTTCTATTATTTGTGGAAAATATATAACTTACAGACGCAATAGTAAGAAACACTTAAAATCGTAGCTGGGCGCAGTGGCTCACACCTGTAATCCCAGCACTTTGGGAGGCCAAGGCAGGCGGATCATGAGGTCAGGAGATTGAGACCATCCTGGCTAACAAGGTGAAACCCCTTCTCTACTAAAAATACAAAACATTAGCCGGGCGTGGTGGCAGGCGCCTGTAGTCCCAGCTACTTGGGAGGCTGAGGGAGGAGAATGGCGTGGA
This sequence comes from Homo sapiens, assembly GCF_000001405.40. Classification (NCBI taxonomy): domain Eukaryota; kingdom Metazoa; phylum Chordata; class Mammalia; order Primates; family Hominidae; genus Homo; species Homo sapiens. The sequence goes on from NC_000009.12 coordinate 36,436,745, forward strand.
CCCGGGAGGTGGAGCTTGCGTGAGCCCAGATAGCACCACTGCACTCCAGCACGGGCGACAGAGCGAGACTCCTCAAAAAAAAAAAAAAAAAAAAAGAATGGGAACATAAGTATAATATAAAATGGATAATCATCCATCCTTTAGTTTTGCCATGGCAACCAGGGTTGGTAATCTTTGAAAGCTGTTTTCTGACTTCCTAGTTCTAAAACAGAGAAGGCAGTTTTCTACCACCAGAGAAGCCAAAGGTCAGACTCTTCCTTTTTCCCTCTTAGCTATTCCTATGCAGATAAACATTTGAGGAGGCAAATAGGATATGATGAGTGGCTGCTTAACAAGGCCACTTGGGCTGCAGTGGCAGGCGGCCAGCCCTTTCCAGCCCTTTCCTTCACGCTTGCTCCTGGCACTGCAGCTGAGCAAGGCAGGACCAGGGAGAGAATTCATGTGTCAATCTTACTATCAAAGATGCCCCTCCCCAACCAACATCAGACCAGTCATACAATGTATTTGGTTTTGTCTCAACATATCTTACAATTAAAATATCTTCTCATTAACTCTTGGTTCTTTATGAAGATGATGCAAGTGAGCCTAAATATAAGTAAATCAACTCAAGAGGAAAAATCTACATAGCTTGGTCAGTTATAGTTACTGGGTATCTCACCTAAAATTAGTCCCACATCATTGGTTGTAAAATGTTACCCTCCATCTAGGAAACAAATCATTTTCACCTGAGCTCAAAGCTTTCTAAGGACAACATTCTAAAAACCGAAGAAGAAAAGTCAGATCAGACAAATTTATAGAAGGAGCAAGGTTGAAAAAAAAAAAAAAAAAGAAGAGGCGCAGACAAATCAATACTACTAGCTGACAGGCTGAGCTAGGTGCTGGCAAGGAGGACAAAAATCAACAAAATATGGTCCTTACCTTTAAGCAGTTTTCAACTTAGGAAGGGAAACAAAACCTACATGTCAGCTAATAACCCTAAAGTAACTTGTCAAGATGGTTTACTTCAGACTGTAAGTGCAAAGGCAATTCAGTGAGTCTATTAAAGACACAGGAAAAGTCTTAAGAGGTAGGTCTTAAAAGAGGAGGAAGAAGAATGATATAGCAGCCAATGCTAATTCTTAGGCAGGAGTCTGTGAAGCCTAAGAAATTTTACAAAAAGGTTTGTAGGCATAAATGTACCATTTTTCTGTAGAGGATGTTGGTTGTTTTGGGTTCTTTGACACTGAGTCTCACTCTGTAGCCCCACGATGCAGTGCAGTGGCGCAATCACAGCTCACTGCAGCCTCAACCTCCTGGGCTCAGTCTTCCAGCCTCAGCCTCTCGAGTAGCTGGGACTACAAGTGTGTGCTACCAGGCTCAGCTAATTTTTTATTTTTTGCAGAGACAGGGTCTATGTTGCCCAGGCTGGTCTCCCAACTTCTGGGCTCAAGAGATCCTCCCATCTCAGTTTCCCGAAGTGCTGGGATTACAGGAGTGAGCCACCATGTCCAGCCAAGGGTGTTGCTTTTTATCAGACCTTCAAAGTAGTCCAAGATTCTCAAAAGGTAGATCCGATACTCTAAATAAGCTTGTCCAACCCGTGACCCATGGGCTGCATGCAGCCCAGGAAGGCTTTGAATGCAGCCCAACACAAATTCATAAACTTTCTTAAAACATTAAGAGACTTTTTTTGTGATTTTTTTTAAGCTCATCAGCAATCGTTAGTGTTAGTGTATTTTATGTGTGCCCCAAGACAATTCTTCTTCTTCCAATGTGGCCCAGGGAAGCCAAAAGATTGGACAACCCTGTTCTAAAATATTCAAGATTCCTCCCTCCACACCTTATCCCAATACACACTTACAAGCAGAAGAGTTTCAGTACATTCAGTGTTTTTGTCTACAATAGCAAAGCTTCACGGTGCTGAACAAAAGACCTAGATAGGTTAGCACACTCAGGCATTTACTTATACAAAGCTAAAAAGGGAGTGGGATGACAATGGTATTTCTACCTGAAAGAAAGAATCTCCTCTTACCCAGCTGAATAGGTGAGAGACTTGACATCTTCCCCTGCTCGGGAAGAGATGTCCTCTCTCCTCCTCTCACTACCTTAGAGAGCTAGGGGCCTAGAGAAGGGCAAACAATACATGGGGCAAAATATTTTACAACATGGACATGAGAGCTTAGGAACTATTATCAGAGATTTCTCTCAGCCTTGAGTACTGCTAAACACACATTTATATTAAGTGCTCTCTACTCTCACAAACTAGAAGAAGAGGTTAAAATAAGCCACAGGGGCCACCTCATATTATCATACTTCAAATCTATGCAGAATAGAGCTATGCATGAAAAGCAATGAGGGCGGGGTGGGAGGGGACTATTGAATTCAAATAAACAAGAAGTGATTTATTGAAATAGAACACAAAAATTATATTCTAGCTAATTCTAACATCACAAGAAGTGATTTTTAAAATACAAAAATTATATTCAAGCTAATTCTAACATCACTGGCAGGAAAAACACTTTACTTGCTAATAGTATATGTAGACCTAGATGTGAGATGTGAAAAAGAAAAAGATTTTGCAGTAAGACAGGCTTGAGTTTTAATCCTTGTCCTTCTATTCGTTAGCTGTGAAACCTTAGATCTTGAACAAGTGACCCTCATTTTTTTTTCCTTACCTTCAAAGAGGTGTGACACCTATGATACAAGGTTGTTGCGAAGCTTATATGACGTATGTAAAGAACACAGCACTGTGGCACAGAAAATGGTTAATAAGTGGTTATTCCTATATCAATCGAAAATAGCCAGGCATGGTAGCTCAAGTCTGTAATCCCAGCACTTCGGGAGGCTGAGGTGGGAGGATCACTAGAGGTCAGGAGTTAAAGACTAGCCTGACCAACATGGCAAAACCCCGTCTCTACTAAAAACACAAAAATTAGCCGGGCATGGTGGCACACACCTTTAGTCCCAGCTACTAGAGAAATCGCTTGAACCTGGGAGGTGGAGGTTGTAGTGAGCCGAGATTATATCACTGTACTCCAGCCTGGGCAGCACAGTGAGACTCTGTCTCAAAAAAAAAAAAAAAAAAAAACTTATCAATAGAAAATGCTAACAGTACCAATCTCCTTTCTCCAAATCACCACAAATTTGTCTGGCATAATTTGTAACTGAGAACATTTTATTGGTATCCATTGATATCTATATACTATTTATTATACAGCCTGCCTTAAAGTTACTGACATGGGCCAGGCACTGTGGCTCATGCCTGTAATCCCAGCAGTTTGGGAAGCTAAGGTGGGCAGATCACTTGAGGTCAGGAGTTCGAGGCCAGCCTGGCCAACATGGTGAAACCCTGTCTCTACTAAAAATACAAAAATCAGCCAGGTGTGGTGGCTCGTGCCCATAATCCCAGGTACTTGGGAGGCTGAAGCAGGAGAATCACCTGAATCTGGGAGGTAGAGGTTGCAGTGAGCTGAGATCATGCCACTACACTACAGCCTGGGCAACACAGCAAGACTCTGCCTCAAAAAAAGAAAAAGTGGCAGGGCGCAGTGGCTCACGCCTGTAACCTGTAATCCCAGCACTTTGGGAGATGGGCGGATCACCTGAGGTCAGGAGCCTGACCAAATGTCAAAACCCAGTCTCTACTAAAAATACAAAATTAACCGCGTGTGGTGGCAGGTGCCTGTATTCCCAGCTACTAGGGAGGCTGAGGCAGGATAATCACTTGAACCTGGGAGGCAAAGGTTGCAGTGAACCAAGATTGTGCCATTGCACTCCAGCCTGGGCAACAAGAGCGAAACTCCATCTCAAAAAAAAAAGAAAGAAAAAAAAGAAAAGAAAAAGTTACTGACATGGAAAAGTTACCAAAATATACTGTTAAGTGGAAAAAAAAAGCAAGTTGCAGAATAAATAAATAAGGCCCTGTTATCTAAACATAGAGACTAGAAATACATACAAACTGCTCACAGTAATTATCCTTGAAAAGGACAATGGAACTGAGGACACATTGATCTATTTTGTATTGTTTGCATCTTCTACAATATTAAGCACTATTTGCTTAATTAAAAACCAATAACAAAAGGAAAAAACCACTAGTAAAATGAAAATTATTCACACAAGGCACTTACATAATCTCAGATACTTTGGGAGGCTGAGCTGGGTGGATCACGAGGTCAGCTTTAACCTTCCTATGCAACACTTTTATTCCCCCCAAATGCCTCATGGTCTGACAGTCTTGAAAACTCCATGGGCAGACACATTTTTACTCCACCTGCCTGCCAATCTAATACACTCAAGGCTAAGTTGAGCATGGCTCCTTTAACCCCAATAGTGACTATGGAGTGGGAGAGTCGGGTCCTGGGAGGAAAGAGGGTGTTAGAAGAAAAGATGAGAAAGAAAAAGCTCAATGGAAAAGAACATACCTTTTTCTATTTTGTAATGTACTAAGGTTACAAAAAGGCCTTTGTCCATCCCAGCAGACACTTATTGTGACCTTAGCTATTTATATGCAACAAAAACTCTCCAAGAATGTCAGCTAAGTGAAAGATAAAATTTACATAATTTCATTTTGCAGGCTTTTCATCTGTTCTGGGTTACTAAATTACCAATTTTTTTTTTTTTTTTGATGGAGTCTCACTCTGTCACCCAGGCTAGAGTGCAATGGCATGATCTCAGCTCACTGCAACCTCCGCCTCCTGGGTTCACACGATTCTCCTGCCTCAGCCTCCTGAGGAGCTGGGATTACAGGCACGCGCCACCATGCCGGCTAATTTTTCTATTTTTAGTAGAGCGGGGTTTCACCACACTGGCTGGGCTGGTCTTGAACTCCTGACCTCGTGATCCACCCAGCTCGGCCTCCCAAGTGCTGGGATTACAGGCGTGAGCCACCGCGCCTGGCCCCAAATCTTTTAAAATACTGATTATAATATAATATCACCTAGGATGGATTTCACCAAACACCACAAAGGTCTAAGATGCGTTCATATACATACTCCTCAATTAAAAACAACAACTTGTGCACCTCTTTCAAAAAGGCTTGCTTTGGGAAGTTAACACTATTGCTCTATGACACCTCAAGTCCATCTAAATTAGCCTGGGAATTGACCTTCTGTTCAAAGAAATCACAGCTATTTAAGGAATGACAACTTCTAAGAAAGATTATTTTCTAGTATATTAAGGCATTTGTACTTCCAAACTGATTTACAGTGAACATCAGATTATAAACCTATTTATTATCACTGAATATTAGCCTACTCTTAGACACTAATGATAATTCTTTCTGAATACATCAGTTTAACCTTGTCATTCCCCTACATAGGAACCATCAATAGCTTCCTCCTACTTATAAGGGGGGGAGGGGGAGAGTCAAATCTGTCCATCAGGCATTCCAATCTTCCTAATCTCATCACTACCAACTCTTGCCAAAGCCTTAGCTCAAACCGGCTGTCAACTTCCTGTTCTTTGAACTCACCGTAATCTGACTGAATGTTCTCATACTGTTAGACCCATCTTTAAAACTCTACCTCAATTCTGCCATCCCTCAATATCCAACTCAAGCCTCAAAAAAGCTAGATGGTATCATCTCCCCTATGAACTTTTAGCAATGACTACTATTGGAGCTTGGGGGTTCATTAAATAAAATCCCTTCCCTCCATCCACCTACCCACTCATTTCTGGAAAAAGGGAGAAATATGACCAAAAAAGTCAGATAGTGACCAAACTGTCAGCTTAATTATAAAGCTCATATTTTAAAAATACATTAAAAATTAAAGACACCTGCCAGGCGCAGTGGCTCACGCCTGTAATCCCAGCACTTTGGGAGGCCGAGGCGGGCGGATCATGAGGTCAGGAGATCGAGACCATCCAGGTTAACATGGTGAAACCCCATCTCTATTAAAAATACAAAAATTAGCCGGGTGTGGTGGCACGCCCTATAGTCCCAGCTACTCGGGAGGCTGAGGAAGGAGAATCACTTGAACCTGGAAAGCAGAGGTTGCAGCGAGCCGAGATCGTGCTATTGCACTCTAGCCTGGCAACAGAGAGAGGCTCAGTCTCAAAAAAATAAGTGTCTGCTGGAATTGAGCAATTCGCTCACCCAATAACAGTAGCAGTTGGAAAACTATAGGCCTACCCACATAGAGATCTGTTTCTGGAAAATTTGCAGCTTCCAAGAATAGGCTACAAGTGGCTGGCTCCTAAGCCCTGCCTAGTTGCTCACCCAAATTCTTCAATGAGATTAGTAAGTCCTCCTCTGGGCGCAAAGAGAAGCCAAGGGAATTACACAGTGATGTCCCTCCACATGGAAATGTGAACCTAGAAGAAAAGAGGTGTCCATCCCCCAATTACGGCTTTGTTTCAAACACAGGCTTATGCCACTTCTATGGATGCCTTAAAACGTTATTTTTAAGTATCATACTGTTTTTAATATGTTTGTTATCTCCACATAGATTAAGCTCCTAGAGAGTGAAATATTAAATGGATTGTCCGCAGGCATAGTGATGGCAAGACCTGGAGTGGGGACAGCAACACTGTGAGCCAGATAATAAAATCTCTGATGAATTGAGGGGTGCAGGATGAGAGAAATGTCTGTGCCTAGAGCTTTAATAGAAGACAGCAAAAAGGGGTTATAGGGAAAAATAGCATAAACCTCAAAGACCGATTTTCACACGAAGATATTAAAGCAATGGCTGAAAGTTGCAAGAGTGAGAAAAATATCAATGCTATATATTTACATTAAAAAGGAAAAACAAAGCAATTCTATCTTTATATTATTTATATGCACAATACAACAACCACTCAGTTGTTGGGACACAGAAGACTCAAATGACAAAATGACAATTAGGAATCACTACAAATAGATAAAGACTTAACTAACATTCAATGCTGGAAAATTATTTCAAGCCATCAAACCATATAGACCAGAAAGCAACAAAAAGAATGTAATTAAAATGCAAAAAAGAAATGAACTTAAACGCTGAAAGGCAGGCATAACCACTGAACTGAAAAAAAATAGGATGGTAAACAGACTCATCCATCTGGTTTCCATGACTAATGGGAACAGAGGTGCTCAGGGAGAGCGAGTGGAGAGAAAACAGGAGGTTACGGATAAGAACATGGTGAATATACACAGAAGATAGGTGTTGCAAATTGAAATGTACAGAGACAAAATTAACTACAGTCAACTTTTGGCTAATGAATGAGTGAAGTCACTCGACAGAACCAAGCAGGCTGGAGCCAGCATGTTCCCCTCCCAGAAGAGCAGCTCTAATGATCACTGCCACAGGAAAATGGACACCGAAGTGAAGCCAGGTCATCTTTTCCCCAAAAAAGCCACACATTCAGATTTTAAATATTTTTATTGTTAGCAACTACAATAATGTTTTCAAAACACTCTGAGGGCCAATAAAACATCTGCAAACAAGATTTGACAGTCAGCTAGCCATTCTTGATTTAGGACATGGACAAAGAAAAAGCCACAAAAGCACCTGAAAAGAAGTAATTTTAAAAAAGGACGGTGAAAGATCAGGATAGAACAGTTCACTGAAACCAAAGGCAAAGGGTTTCAAGAAAAAAAAATGAGGGTTGCAGGTTGGGGGGAAGGGAGAGCATCAGGAAGAATAGCTAATGGATGCTGGGCTTAATACCAAGGTGATAGGTTAATCTGTGCTGCAAACCACCATGTCACACGTTTACCTATGTAACAAACCTGCATTTCCTGCACTTGTACCCTGGAACTTAAAAGCTGAAGAAAAATAAGAGTGATTAACAGGAAGTTCAATTAAAAATCAAGAAAAAGGCCAGGCATGATGGCACATGCCTGTAATCCCAGCACTTTGGGAGGTTGAAACAGGCAGATCATTTGAGGTCAGGAGTTTGAGACCAGCCTGACCAACATACTGAAATCCCATCTCTACCAAAAATACAAAAATTAGCCAGAAGTGGTGGTGCACACCTATAGTCCCAGCTACTTGGGAGGCTGAGGTGGGAAAATCACTTGAATCCAGCAGGCAGAGGTTGCAGTGAGCTGAGATCGCACCACTGCACTCCAACCTGGGAGATAGGAGTGAAAACCCTGTCTCAAAAAAAGATTTGAATAAATAAGGGAATACCACACCCCTCAAATAAAATGCCATTAGTGCTCTTTAGTAACCTGAAAATTTAAAATAGTTTCATACTGCAGCTTTAAGAGCCATTCTCTTTTTTTTTTTTTTTTTTGAGACCTATCAGTGATCGCCAGAGATTTCTGGTTAATCCACTATCCCTCAGACCCAAACAAATCCTGCATAAACTACAAAGGTTCAAATCTCCTGGACTATGCTAGGGGACCCAGAACACCTGGAGCCCCACTGGGGTTCAGCATCCACAAGGGTGACACTTCACCGTCTTTTGCGATGGGACAGTCTGTTGTGACATGATGCTTCCATTCTAGAATGACAGAGAAGGTACGCACTTACAGACAACCTATCAGCAATAAATAGCAAGTACTGGAACCAAAGAACAGAAAAAAATCCAGGTAGAATGAAGTTGATCATGAAATGCTTTCTGGGAAAATTTGAACGTAGCAGAGAAGTTGAACATGGTAAGGATAAAGACAAGAGTCATACAAAGTAGATTTTGTGGCCAGGTGCCCCCAATTTTGAGACATATGATTTCATGTTTTTCTTTTCAATAATGGTTATTTAACTGCATAATTACTTATTTGTTGCATTCTTTTTCATATTAATAATTTTACAACTAAATTCCTTCATCAGACCTTCTACACAATTTGAGTTTGGATAACTGGTCACCATATGTATGAAAGCAATGGAACCCATACGGGTATAGAGATGCTTATGAATAAATTGGAGTTGGGATGAGAGAGAGTGAAACAGTCCATGCTAAGACAGGGGAATCAAACCACAAGCCAGAACCACTGGAGGATGGTGAAGGGTAGAGAGAACTAGCTGGTAAAAGACTCCTCTAAAGTAAGGAGGCATGCAGCTCTCTGAAAAGCCAGCCGACAACTCCTTACTCCAGTTTTTCAATCTACTACTTCAGATTGCCAGCTGATATCAAGGAGTGTCACAAGACACCGTAAGGTGTCACAAAACACCACAGCTTTAACATGTCACCTGAAATGACAGCCTAGGGAAAAATGTATTCAGATTCTTCTCCCTTTCAACTATCAGGCTCAAACGATTCCCCCTGATGTGGAACTTCAGAGCCGTTGCCACACAGTGTAGCACTTAGTCCCTGAGTTGTTTTATTCTCCCACGTGCATTCTGCTTGAATCCAGTCCTTGTCTTCCATCTTTCCCGCCTCTTAAACAAAGTTTTGGCTCTTACACAGGGAAGTCCACCAAGCTTTGTGATGTGCTACAAACTCTCAGGCTGTTCTGTGTGGTCCATGAGCACACCTGAACCTCTGATCATGTCAGGCAGTTTCCCAGTGACTTAGCCCTGCCCAAGCGTTAACTATGCCAGCAGCCTCTGCTAAGAATTCTGGCCCCTCAAGTACAAACTCTGGGAATGTTACACTGATTTGTATCACAAAAAGGGTTAGTTTCTGTTCCTGGAGTTTGAAGGAAACCAGTTAATATGAAGCACTCATATAAACAGCAAGGCTTCTCCCAACAATCTGTAAGAGTTGAGGACAACAGAAATTCAGTACAACAGTTTACATGAAATGCTTTTTTCTCCCCTGTGTTTCCTGCACAAGAAAATTTGGGACAAGGGAATGGTTTGGAAACAACTGTTTCTTTCTTTCTTTTATTAAAGTACAAATTAAATCTGAAAACACTTTATTAAGTTGAAATACACATCGGCCCAGGCGCAGTGGCTCACGCCTGTAATCCCAACACTTTGGGAAGCTGAGGCAGAAGGATCACTTGAGGTCAGGAGTTTGAGACCAGCCTGGGCAACATGGTGAAACCCCGTCTCTACTAAAAACACAGAAAGTTAGCCAGGCATGATGGCCCCCGCCTGTAATCCCAGCTACACGGGACGCTGAGGCAGAAGAATCACTTGAACCCAGGAGGCAGAGGTTGCAGTGAGCCGAGATTGCACCACTGCACTTCAGCCTGGGCGACAGAGTGAGACTCCGCCTCAAGAAAAAAAAAAAAAAAAAAAAAAAAAAAAAGTCAGGCATGGTGGCTCATGCTTGTAATCCCAGCACTTTGGGAGGCTGAGGTGGGCGGATCACTTGAGGTCAGGAGTTCGAGACCAATCTGGCCAATGTGGTGAAACCGTCTCTACCAAAAATACAAAAAAAAAAAACATAGCTGGGTGTGGTGGCGGATGCCTGTATTCCTAGCTACTTGGGAGGCTGAGGCAGGAGAATTGCTTGAACACAGGAGATGGAGGTTGCAGTGAGTTGAGATCGTGTCACTGCACTCCAGCCTGGGCAACAGGGCAAGACTGTCTCCAAAAAAAAAAAAAAAAATTTAAATCTGATTAAGTGCTTGTGATTAAGTGTGGCCAAAAATTTTGAGTAAGGAGTCTCATCACTGTGACCTAATAGCCCAATTTTAGATGACTCCTCCTGTATTTACACAGACCTCTGCATACACCTATCACAATACATCACACTGTTTTGCTTCTCCTTCTAGACCAAAAGTTGCTTGAGAGCAGAAGCCATGACTTACATGAATTGATTAAAAGCCTAGGACAGTGCTGGGCACACAGTAGGTATTAAACAGTCCTGAATGGAAAGCCATGATACGAATTCATTTACCGTAAATTCAGGAGACGAATTTCTAACTAAAATTCTGCTATCTCTAAAGGATTCCAAATCAGCAGTAAATAGCTGCACACCTCAAGCCCTAAATGTGTAGGCATCTGATAATATATAATACTAGTAAGTGGTCAGTAACAACCAACCTGCTAAAACAGGTACTAAGGAAAGGAATAAGCCACCGAAGAAGCCTAATGAAAATATGCATTTTAATATAATCTGAACTCTTCAGCTGTCTTAGGATACTTGGTACAGTATTCAAAATAACAACTGAGTACCTACAGAAATGTAAACATAGGAAGAATGGCCAACTACCATTTGCTTTCTCTCAAACTCAATGACCTTAGGGTCCAGACCAAGAGGAAGCTTGAGATTTTAACACTGGGAAGAATTACTAACTGTATTAATAGGACTAAATGAAAATGCATTCAACTGAACTTCATAATTGGGTTTTGTTTTCACTGTGTGCATTAACTACTCTCATAGGCAACCAAGAGCAGCGGCTTCTACCCCCTAAGTTCTTCTGAACTAGAAGTATAACAGAGGGCAATTCATCACTGTAATATTGAAGCCTACATGCAGCTCTGCAGTGCTGAAAAGAGCCTTTAAAGCTCATCACATCTACAATTTTACACCAAGCACAAAAGGGGAGGTGACTTACCCAAAGGCACACAGAAACTTAATGACAGGGTGAGGGCAGAGTGAGGACAGAACTGGTCTTCTTAAGGCCTGGGCCAGCAATCTACCACCCCAAACCAACCATATCCCTGCAGCCACTATGTTTGTATTCATTGTGATAAACTATATCTAAGTATTAGGCAAGCACAAATGTAAACATAAATGATCAAATATAGCAGAATCTTCTTAACCAGACTTCTCAGAGCTGTATGTTCTAGCTGACTTAATCTTCTGGTTACCAGAGATTGATATTGAAAAACGAACCTCACAATTATCATCAGGAAAAAGAAAACAAGGGAAACAACAAACAACAAATACTAGTCCTGTCCTTAGACACATGCAGAGAGCTGTTTTCTTTTTGGTAAATCTGTGCTATAAAGTAGTGGTGGTATAGTACAAATAGTCCAGCCCTATCAATAACTGACTAGTTGTGTGATATTATTCAAGTCAATCTCTCCGCAACTCAGTATTTACACCTTTAAAATGAAGAGGCAGAACTAGATAATGTAAAGTGCCTTCCAGCTCTGAAATTCAAAGTTCTTCAGAAATTGCCTGCCCCACCCCCAGATAAGTTCTAAATATATTATCTCAGGTTGAAACAGACCCAAATGGGCCGGGCGCGGTGGCTCAGCCTGTAATCTCAGCACTTTGGGAGACAGAGGCGGGCGGACTGCCTGAGGTCAGGAGTTTGAGACCAGTCTGGCCAACATGGTGAAACCCTGTCTCTATTAAAAATACAAAAAAATTAGCTGGGCGCCTGCAATCCCAGCTACTCGGGAGGCTGAGGCAAGGGAATTGCTTGAACCAGCGAGGTGGAGGTTGCAGTGAGCCAAGATTGTGCCACTGCACTCCAGCCTGGGCGACAAAGCGAGACTCCGTCTCAAAAAAATTAAAAAAGAAAGAAAGAAAGAAAGAAATAGACCCAAACTATAAACCAGTTAAAACATACAACTGATACCTAGATCTCCTCTACAAATACTTGTAACTCTTATTAATAATGGCTTTTTGGTAGAATTATTTTTTCTGTATCACCATTTACACAAGAACTACTCAGAGACTTGCCATGGTTTAAAACATTTGGGAGGCTTAGGCAGGAGGATATCAAGGCAAAGTGTTTGAGACCAGCCTGAGTAACACAGCAGGACCTCATTTCTACAAAAAATAAAATAAACAGCCAGGTATGGTAGCACACACCTATAATCCTAGATATTTGGGAGGCTGAGGCAGGAGGATCACTTGAGCCCAGGAGTCTGAGGTTGAAATGAGCAGTGATTGTGCCAGTGCACTCCAGCCTGGGTGACAGAGTGAGACCCTATCTCTCTCTTTTTTTTCCTTTTTTTTTGAGATGGAGCATCACTCTGTCGCCCAGGCTGGAGTGCAGTGGCGCGATCTCGGTTCACTGCAACCTCCGACTCCTGGGTTCAGGCAATTCTCCTGCCTCAGCCTCCCAAGTAGATAGGACTACAGGCGCGTGCCAACACGCCCGGCTAATTTTTTGTATTTTTAATAGAGACGGGGTTTCACCGTGTTAGCCAGGATGGTCTCGATCTCCGAATCTTGTGATCCGCCCACCTCGGCCTCCCAAAGTGCTGGGATTACAGGCATGAGCCACCGCTCCCAGCCTAGACCTTATCTCGTAAACAACAAACACAAAAACATTTGCAGGTCCTACAATTAAGCAGAAGCAGGGGAAGTTGCTCAACTGGATGGAAGAAGCTTTGTGGACTTCTCACTCAGGAGTTCCAATATCATGTTTTATTTTTCATAGTTCTGCTATTTGATATAATTTTGGAAGCTCACTGATTTAAAGGCTGGTCTAGGTCTTTCTCCCCATAAAATACATAGTATTGACAAACATATTCGCTCTGTTCACAGGAACTGCACTATTGAATTCCCTCATGTATTTATATGCGATCATATACTATCATAAGGCTATCCCTTTCTTTTGTATTTTTTATTGTGGTAGAATATACATAAACTTCACCATTTTAACCATTTTTAAGCATAAATTCAGTGGCATGAACCTAACTCTTCGAAACCCAATTATAAAGCTTAGTTGTGCAACCATCATCACTCTATTTCCAAAACTTTTTTGTTGCCCCCAACAAAAACCCTGTACCCAGTAAGCAGTAACTTCCCACTCCCACTTGACTTTTTTTTTATATAATTATATTCTCAAAAGGCTTAATAACTTTTAAACTGTAATATGCTGCCACCAGGTGGCAAGAGAGCAACATGGCTGCCCTAAATTGGGAGGAAAGGCAGGGAACCACTAGTACTTTCTCCCAAGAATTAGAAAAGTTAAAATTTCACTCACCAAAACCACCTAGGTACATAACTATAAATTTCTACATGTTTTAATTTCCCTCTAAAATCTATAATAACTAAACTCATGCAAACTGCAAACAAAGAATTTCAGGGAACAATTTTAAAACCAAATAAAAGCTCAAAATATAGAACTTGGTGAGTATTTCCTAACTTAATCATCACTATACCTATTCAATTCTCAAAATTAACCTAGAGCCAGGCGCAGTGGCTCATGCCTGTAATCCTAGCACTTTGGGAGGCTGAGGTGGGCGAATCACCTGAGGTCAGGAGTTTGAGAACAGCCTGGCCAACATGTTAAAACCCCGTCTCTACTAAAAATACAAAAATGGCCTGGCGTGGTGGTTCATGCCTGTAATCCCAGCTACTTGGGAGGCTGAGGCAGGAGAATCACTTGAACCCAGGAGGTGGAGGTTGCGGTAAGCCGAGATCGTGCCATTGCACTCCAGCCAAGCCCCACAGGTTGAGGCAAAAATCAATCATCACAAAAGTGAGATAACCAGACAATATGAGTCTCCTAATGACAGAACAGAACTCCCTTATGATGTAGTCTTGCATTCCCCAATTCCAAATAAAGTATACTTAAATACGACTGAACCTCTAATTCTAGCAACCAATGCAGTGCAAAGAGAAAACACAGAGGACTGTGTTAATACGCACCTTGGGAATGCAATCAGCAAAGTTCAAACTAAAAAGTTATGGAACAAACAAGCGGCTTTCTTCAACAAATAAACTGCAGTATTTTGGCCGGGCGCAGTGGCTCATGTCTGTAATCCCAGCACTTTGGGAGGCCGAGGCAGGAGGATCACTTGAGGTCAGGAGTTTGAGACCAGCCTGGCCAACATGGTGAAATCCCATCTCTACTAAAAATAGAAAAGATTAGCCAGGTGTGGTGGCACGCATCTATAATCCCAGCTACTCAGGAGGCTGAGACAGGAGAATCGCTTGAAGCCGGGAGGCTGGAGGTCGCAGTGAGCCGAGATGGCACCACTGCACTCCTGCCTGTGCAACAAGAGTGAAACTCCATCTTAAAGAAGAAAAAAAAATTGTAGTAGTTTTTTTTTTTTTTTTTTTTTTTTTTGAGACGGAGTTTCGCTTTTGTTGCTCAGGCTGGAGTGCAATGGTGCAATCTCGGTTCACAGCAACCTCCGCCTCCCAGGTTCAAGCGATTCTCCTGCCTCAGCCTCCCTAATAGCTGGGATTACAGGCATGTGCCACCATGCCCAGCTAATTTTGTATTTTTAGTAGAGACTGGGTTTCTCCATGTTAGTCAGGCTGGTCTTCAACTCCTGACCTCAGGTGATCCGCCCACCTCGGCCTCCCAAAGTGCTGGGATTACAGGCATTAGCCACTGCACCCGGCTTGCAGTATTTTTTTAATGATAAAAGGGAAAGGCAATATATAGTAAAGATTTGAGAAGCACTGTGAATCACTTACAAAGTATTAGTTGATGTGGATCCTAATTCGAGCAAACTTTTTTAAAAAAAAAACTTTTTAAGGCCAGGCGCGGTGGCTCACCCCTGTAATCCCAATACTTTGGGAGGCCAGGGAGGATGGATCACTTGAGCTCAGGAGTTCAAGAATAGCCTGGGCCACATAGTGAGATCCCATCTCTACTAAAAATTTTTTTAAAAAAAATAGACACACACGATGCCGTGTGCCTACAGTTCTAGCTACTCAGGAGGCTGAAGTGGGAGAACCACTTGAGCACCCAAGGAGTTGAAGAGTGCATTGAGCCGTGATCACACCACTGCACTCCAGCCTAGGTAACAGACTGAGCTGATGTCTTTAAAAAAACTTTAAAATGTTCTTAAAGTGGTTTTAGTATATTCACTGGGTTGTTCATCAGTCACCACTAATTCTAGAACATTTTCATCATCCCAAAAAGAAACCCTGTATCCATTAGCAGTCAGCTCTCCCCCATTCTCCCCTCCTCCAGCCCTAGATAATCATTAATTTACTTTCCCAATGAATTTGCCTATTCTAGACATTTTTACATAAATAGACGCATACTACATGTGCTCTTTTGTGTCTGGTTTCTTTCACTTAGCATGTTTTGAATGTTCATCCATGTTGTGGCATGTTAGCAAAATCTTGCTTTTTTTTTTTTTTCTTGAGATGGAGTCTCACTCTGTTGCCCAGGCTGCAGTGCAGTGGCACAATCTCAGCTCGCTGCAACCTCCACCTCCTGGTTCAAGCGACTCTCCTGCCTCAGCCTCCCAAGTAGCTGGGACTATAGGTGTGCGCCACCATGCCCAGCTAATTTTTGTATTTTTGGTAGAGATGGGGTTTTGCCATGTTGGCCAGGCTGGTCTCAAAGTCCTGGCCTCAAGTGATCCGCCTGCCCTGGCCTTCTGAAGTGATGAGATTACAGGCATGAGCCACTGCACCCGGCCAAAACCTTGTTTATTTTTATGAATAATATGCCATTGTATGGGCATACTAATTTTTGTTTATTCATCAGCGGAAGGGCATTTGAATTGTTTCTGTTTTTCAGCTATAATGAATAATGATCAATCCTGTGAACATTTGTATACAGCTTCTGTGTAGACTTACGTTTTCAATTACGTTGGGTATCTAGGAGTGGAACTGCTGGGTCACACAGTAATTCTATATTAAACTTTTTGAGGAACGGCCAAACTGTTTTCTAAAGTGGCTGCACCATTTTACATTCCCACCACCAGTCTGAATGTTCCAATTTCTCCACATCCTTGACAACGTGTTGTTGTCTGTCTTCTATTATTATAGCCATCTTAACAAGTGTGAAGTGGAAATATTATTATTATTATTATTTTGAGACAGAGTCTTGCTCTGTTGCCCTGGCTGGAGTGCACTGGCACAAACACAGCTCACTGCAGCCTCAAAGTCCCAGAACTCAAGCAATCTTGCTGCCTCAGCTTCTCCAGTAGCTGGGACCACAGGTGCATGCCACCATGTTCAGGTAATTTTTTTTTTTTTTTTTTTGAGACGGAGTCTCACTCTGTTACCCAGGCTGGAGTGCAATGGTGCGATCTCAGATCAATGCAACCTCCACCTCCTGGGTTCAAGCAATTCTCCTGCCTCAGCCTCCCAAGTAGCTGGGATTACAGGCGCACGCTGCCACGACTGGCTAATTTTCTATATTTTTAGTAGAGACGGGGTTTCACCATGTTGGCCAAGCTGGTCTTGAACTCTTGACCCCAAGTGATCCACTGCCTTGGCCTCCCAAAGTGCTGGGATTATAGGCATGAGCCACTGCGCCCGCCACTGAGCTAAGTTTTAAAAAATTTTTTGTAAAGATGAGGTCTTGCCATGTTGCACAGGCTGGTCTCGAACTCCTACTTTCAAGCAATCCTCCCGCCTCAGTTATACACAAAATAACTGATGTGAGTCATTGCACACAGCCAGAGAATAATTAGTTTTTAAGTGTGATAATGACATAGTAGTCATGTACACGATTAGAGATTCATACTGAAATATTTATAGATAAATGATATGTTGTTTAGAATCATTCAAAATAACACAAAGTAGGGATGAGGGGAGAAGGTAGAAGTGGAGATGCATAAAATTGCCACTCTAATAATTATTGAACCTTAGTAATGGGTACGCATGGGTTTGTTATACTAGTCTCTCTAAAGCTATGTTTAAGATTTTTCCATAACAAATATTAAAATGTACCTACAATACCACAAATACATAAAATTCTTTCATACTTTTTTTTTTTTTGAGACAGAGTCTCACTCTGTCACCCAGGCTGAAGTGCAGTGGCGCAATCTCGGCTCACTGCAACCTCCACCTGCCAGGTTCAAATGATTCTCCTGCCTCAGCCTCTGTTGTAACTGGGATTACAGGCATCCGCCACCATGCCTGGCTAATTTTGTTTTGTATTTTTAGTAGAGACGTGGTTTTGCCAATGTTGGCCAGGCTGGTCTAGAACTACTGACCTCAAGTAATCCGCCCACCTCGGCCTCCCAAAGTGCTGGGGTTACAGGCATGAACCACCACGCCCAGCCTCTATCATACATTTTTATACCCTAGAAAACAAAATATCATACCTATTACATTATTTCACATCTCAACATTGCACAAATATTATGTTAGGTGTTTCTGAAAACCTGAGAAAAAAATTATGCCTAATAAAAATATCAATTATACATTAATTTACTTTTTTTTTTTTTTTTTTTTGAGACGGAGTCTTACTCTGTCGCCCCGGCTGCAGTGCAGTGGCACAATCTCGGCTCACTGCAACCTCCGCCTCCCAGGTTCAAGTGATTCTCCTGCTTCAGCCTGCTTAGTAGCTGGGATTACAGGTGTTCACTACCAGGACTGGCTAATTTTCTATATTTTTAGTACAGACAGGGTTTCACCATGTTGGCCAGGCTGGTCTTGAACTCCTGACCTTAAATGATCCACCCGCCTCGGTCTCTCAAAGTGCTGGGGTTAAAGGCGTGAGCCACTGCACCCGACCTAATTTTAAATCCTGTAAACAGATTTTCAAGGTTATATATTTATGCTAGTTAACAAAAACTGTGTTGTATCCAACTAAACTTCATTTGCTACAAATGTGAAAAATCAAACTCATCAGTATTCAACTCCCATGCGTATAAAGAAACAAATTCTTAAGAACATAAACTGCAAATGCAATCTCTTTTTTTTTTTTCTGAGACACAGTCTCATTCTGTCGCCATGTGCAGAGTGCGGTGGTGCGATCTTGGCTCACTGCAACCCCCGCCTCCCAGGCTCAAGTGATTCTCATGCCTCAGCCTCCTGAGTAGCTGGGATCACAGGCACGGACCACCATGTCCAGCTAATTTTTCCTGTTTTTAGTAGAGACGGGCATTTCACTGTGTTGGCTAGGCTGGTCTCAAACTCCAGGCCTCCAGTGATCCACCTGCCTCGGCCTCCCAAAGTGCTGGGATTACAGGCATTAGCCACTGTGTCCAGCCTTGTAAATGAAATATTGTACTTTATCTCAGTTGAGAAAGTTTTGTTTCTTTAATAGTAAGCACAACACTAAAAGGAGTCAACTCTCAATTATCTCCAGAAGGAAGCTAAGGAGCAAATAGTTTAAAAGTGCACTCATTTAGCTGGACGCGGTGGCTCACGCCTATAATCCCAGCACTTTGGGAGGCCGAGGCGGGTGGATCATGAGGTCAGGAGTTCAAGACCAGCCTGGCCAAGATGGTGAAACCCCGTCTCTACTAAAAGTACAAAAATTACAGCACATCTATAATCTCAGCTAGTTGGGAGGCTGAGGCAGGAGAATCGCTTGAATCTGGGGGGCAGAGGTTGCAGTGAGCCGAGACAAGACCAGCCTGGCCAAGATGGTGAAACCCCGTCTCTACTAAAAGTACAAAAATTACAGCACGTCTATAATCCCAGCTACTCAGGAGGCTGAAGCAGGAGAATCGCTTGAATCTGGGGGGCGGAGGTTGCAGTGAGCCGAGACCACACCACTGCACTTCACCCTGGGTGACAGAGCAAGACTCCACCTCAAAAAAAAAAAAAAAAAGTGCACTAATTTAACTTAATTCATTTTTTCTTTCACAAACTGCCATTTAACCAAATCACAGAAAAGGTAGCCTTCCCATTTCTTTCTAGCATCAGAGGGAGTAAGAAGTTCCACCTGGATGAATTTTCTTGATAACAATCCAATAAATAATTTTTTTTTTGAGACAGAGTCTCGTCTGCCATCCAGGCAGTGGCGTGATCTCAGCTCACTGCAACCTCCACCTCCTGCCTCAGCAATTCTCCTTCCTCAGCCTTCCTAGTAGCTGAGATTACAGGTGTACACCACCACATCTGGCTAATTTTGTATTTTTAGTAGAAACGGGTTTCACCATGTTGGCCAGGCTGGTCTCGAACTTCTGGCCTCAGGTGATCTGCCCACCTCGGCCTCCCAAAATGCTGGGATTACAGGCGTGAGCCACAGTAGCTGGTCTCAAACAATTTTTATTTCAACCATATTTAACAGAAATTATTCCAAAATATAATATGCATTTCTGTGTGTTATAAGTCACTAAAATGCAAAGTAATTTTAAACTTTTCATGACACATAAACATCGCTAACATCAATTATCAAACTTTTTGATGCTATAGAATCTGGAAAACTAGACATCTGCTTTCATGTATCTCAGGGTCTTGGTTTTTCTCTTCAAGGATCTATCCTAGACTCTGCCTTGCCAGTGAAGGCTGTCTCTCCTGCTGGGCTGAGGGTTTCTCTGGGCCTCTTCCTGCAATTCACCTCTCAACCTACTGGACACTAAATCTAATGAATACTCATTGTTTTTCCATTCCAGGCTAGCTAGCACAAATACCCGTTATCTCCCTGAATCCAGAACTGTTATATTCTGCATTGTGCCAAGCATGAAGACCAACAGATTGGGCCATGTTGATCACTGTGCTAACTTACTTAATGGTAGATATGTTTTAGAATTATAAGATATGAGAACTTTAATAATACAAGTGTAGGAGTTCAACCTCCCTGCTTTATAGATAAGCAAAAAGCCCAGAAGATTAAGTGACTCATCCAAGGTCACTGGGTTTTTTTGTAGCAGAAAAGAACTGCTGGTTTCTAGTCCAGCTGCTTTTTGCACTACTTCATCAACACCCACATCCTACAAGATTATCATGCAATAAAGTATAAACTAATTAAGGAGCTAAATTTTGCCCTAATTCTTTAAATTCATGGATGCTGGTCCTTCCAGAAATAAAACAAAACCTTAAAATCTGATTTCTGCTAGATGAATTTATATTAAAGTAGAACTAGCTTTATCACAGGTACCTGCTTTCTTACCAAACACGAAGGCACTGAATTAATAGGAATCAATCACATTTAAACCAAACATAAGAAACAACTATCTTCAGAAACCCATACTGCATACAGGTAACACTTTGGAGTAAGGCATGCTTTAAACAGACTTCCTCTAACTGAATTTAAACCATTTAATTGGCAATTAATCTATTAATTGTAACTCTTTTCCACTGAGCTATAACAGAAAAACATGCATCTATCCCTCCAACTGAGTTCTGCTTACACCATTAGATTCTGAAAGTCTGCGATGGGCACAGACATTAATATTTACTTAAATAGTTAAAAAGCCTTTGTTGGAAATAACTTTAAAGCCCTTATGTACAAACTTTACGGTTGAAGATAATCTTTAAGGCATAGGTTCTCAAACTGAGATCCACAGGCTTAAGTTTATCAGGGGACTGGGCATGGTGGCTCACGTCTGTAATCCCAGCACTTTTGGAGACTGAGGCAGGTGGATCACTTGAGGTCGGGAGCTCAAGACCAGCCTGGCTAACATGGTGAAACCCCGTCTCTACTAAATAAACAAAAATTAACCAGGCATGGTGGTGGGCACCTGTGAGCTGAGATCACGTCACTGCACTCCAGCCTGGGTGACAGAGGGAGACTCCGTCTCCAAAAAAAAAAAAATTATCAGGGGACTTCAGGAGGTCTACAAACTCCCTAAAACTGTACACAAAATTCAGAATGTATGTGCATTTGTGCATGTGTTAGGTTGAGAAGAGCCCTAGCTTTTATCAGATCCTCAAAAGAGAACCATCATGCCAAAAAGGTTCAGAATCCTGCTTTAAGTAAACAAAGCTTTCAAGCTGTGGAGGTAAGGCAGTCCATTGATGGTTGCAGAACACACAACAAAGGTTGCCTCTCCTCACATACACCAACGCTTTTGGAATGCAGAGCCTCAATATAGTAGTAATGAGAGGTGAAGCCAGCTGGACTTCTGGGTCGGGTGGGGACTTGGAGAACTTTTCTGTCTAGCTAAAGGATTGTAAATGCACCAATCAGCGCTCTGTGTTTAAAGGATTGTAAGCACACCAATCAGCACTCTGTAAAATGGACCAGTCAGTGCTCTGTAAGATGGACCAACCAGCAGGATGTGGGCAGGGCCAAATAAGAGAATAAAAGCTGGCCACCCGAGCCAGCAGCAGCAACCCGCCTGGGTCCCCTTCCACGCTGTGAAAGCTTTGTTCTTTTGCTCTTCACAGTAGATCTTGCTGCTGCTCACTCTTTGGGTCTGCACTACCTTTATGAGCTGTAACACACACCACAAGCGTCCGCGGCTTCATTCCTGAAGTCAGCGAGACCACAAACCCACCGGGAGGAACAAACAACTCCTGACGTGCCACCTTTAAGAGCTGTAACACTCACTGCGAAGATCTGCGGCTTCACTCCTGAAGTCAGTGAGACCACGAACCCACCGGAAGGAAGTTCCGGACACATCTGAACATCTGGAGGAACAAACTCTGGACACACCATCTTTAAGAGTTGTAACACTCACCGCGAGGGTCCGCGGCTTCATTCTTGAAATCAAGAACACACCGGAAGGAATAAATTCCAGACACAGTAATATTGAGAAACCATAAGTTCACCAGTCACAAGACAGAGAGACAAGTCCACTATATATCCTGACCAACATATCGCCACATTTGGTGTCTTAACCACAGACCATCAAGACATTCTGTAAGACAGAAAGATTGCCCTCTGGCTGGACGCGGTGGATCACCTGTAATCCCAGCACTTTGGGAGGCCAGGGTGGGCAGATCACGAGGTCAAGAGATTGAGACCATCCTGGCCAACATGGTGAAACCCTGTCTCTACTAAAAATACAAAAATTAGGTGGGCGTGGTAGTGCAGGCCTGCAATCCCAGCTACTCAGGAGGCTGAGGCAGGAGAATCACTTGAACCCAGGAGGTGGAGGTTGCAGTGAGCCGAGATCACACCACTGCACTCTAGCCTGGTGACAGAGCGAGACTCTGTCTCAAAAAAAAAAAAAAAGAAAGATAAAGATTGCCCTCCACAGCTACACACTGAAAAGACTGGGAAAGGGACAGAAATGTTCTGGGGGAATCTCTAGGGTAAAGGGCCTTTCAGCAAAAACACTCCCTGAAATTACTTTATCTCAACTAGTACTAACACTTCCTGGGTATACTTAATTCAGTAACCTGTGTTAAGGCATTTACTCCTTTTATTTGTCCAAAACAAAAATCTCTCTGTCAAACATTAGGGATAGGGCATTGCCTTCATTTTGGTACACTGAGTATTTTGTATTTAGAGAATAAATCCATTATCACAATTTTATAAGCTGTGAACACAAATCCCCTTAGTGTTTTCTGACACTGAAGAATTACTTTGTATTTAACACCCTGGATATGTGAGTGTGCAAGAGAAGAGTATGTGTATGTGTGTACATACTCCATCACAGGCTACATAAAATATTAACTCTAATTATTGTATAGTGCTTACAAAGAAATCCTGCTTTCCTTCTACCACCACTAAATACTATTTTCACTTCAGAGACTTGCGGATTTTAGGAAAGTTTATTTTCATTTCCATCTTCTACTGTCATGTACAATACTGAAAATCAGTTTTAACTGATTTTAGTGTTTTCCCAAAAGAAAATTGAGAAAGGATTATTGAGTCAAGAAATCTGTGCATACAAGATACTCTGTGGCGATTAGTAACATTGTTGTATTTTACACCTATGCATTTTTAGGCTATTGCTATCCAATACTATAAGAGAAAATTTTTTAACTTAATGCAAACGAATGTTTTTCTAACTTAAACGACAGAAAATTAAATCCATTCACCAAAACTATGCTTCTTAATATCTAAAAACCCTACTTAGGGCCAAAATCAGTGCTCCCAATTAGAGATCACAAATGTAACTTTAAAAACATTTTTCTTGTGGTTTCTTAAGCTTATGATCAACTGCCTAGAAGATACTAAGAATGTTGCCTACAAGACGTTGAGGATTAAAAACAGTAAAGAGCAATAAATATACTAGAAATTCCAATTATCTAATTTATTGGCACAACTGATGGTTTACTTCTCTCGCATAAGTGACCACAGGAAGGCATAGACTAATTTAAACTTTACACAACAAACAGGAAATTCAAAAGCAGGAATAAAAAGCTTTTATCTATAGTGGTTTAGCCAAACTATCATACATATACATACTGGAGTAAATGGAGGTAACATTAAGTGTGTGTGTGCAAGTGCCTGCCCCGACCCCATCACCAAGAACAGGGTTGATCCAGAAAGTAAGGTAAATCAATGCACAGTGGTGGGAAACAGACTTTTCCTAGTCCCAGAACACTTAATGGACTGGAAGCAGCAACTAGCTTAATCAGTGACATTCACACATATAAAGAAAAAAAGGAGCCAGGCGCGGTGGCTCACTCCCATAATCCCAGCACTTTGGGAGGCCAAGGCAGGCAGATCAGCTGAGGTTCGGAGTTCAAGACCAGCCTGACCAACGTGGAGAAACCCCATCTCTACTAAAAATACAAAATTAGCCAGGCGTGGTGGCACATGCCTGTAATCCCAGCTACTCAGGAGGCTGAGGCAGAAGAATCGCTTGAACCCAGGAGGTGAAGGTTGCAGCGAGCCGAGATTGCACCATTGCACTCCAGCCTGGGCAACAAGAGGGAAACTCTCTCAAAAAAAAAAAAAAAAAAAAAGAAAGAAAGAAAGAAAAAAAAGGAGGCTGGTCGCGATGGCTCACAACTGTAATTCCAACACTTTGGGAGGCCAAAGCAGGTGGATCACCTGAGATTAGAAGTTCAAGACCAGCCTGGCCAACATGGGGGAAACCCCGTATCTACTAAAAAATACAATAATTAGCTGGGTGTGGTGGTGCACACCTGTAATCCCAGCTACTTGGGAGGCTGAGGCAGGAGAATTGCTTGAACCTGGGAGGCGGAGATTGCGGTGAGCCAAGGCTGCACCACTGCACTGCACTCCAGCCTGGGCAACAAGAGCAAAACTCCATCTCAAAACAAACAAACAAACAAACAAAAACTCTGGGTCAGGGATGTTAAAGCCATGAATGAGTAGTGGTAAGCTGTATGCTATAAAGGAAAAAGAAAACCAGAATACAATGACAGAGCAGAGAGGTAAAACCTTCTTTAGACTGAGTAGTCAAGGAAGGCCTCAGAAGAAAGCTGAGAGCTCAGGGATGAGAAGGAGCTGAGTACTCAAAGGGTAGAACAAGAGTGTTCTATGCAGAGAAAACAGCCTGGAAGAGACAGGAAAAACTGTAAATTCAAGTGCAATGGGATGCCACTGAATAGTTTAAGTAACCATGTGACCCATTCTTTCAAAAGCTTTCTCTGGCTGCTATGCAGAGAAAAAAATTGGAGACCAGACAAGTGTGAAGACCAGCTGAAAGGCTACTGTGGCAGTTCAGGGGGAGAGATGGGATAGCTTCAGTGAAAAGAGGTGAAACAATACAAAATACATTCTGGAGATGTGCTGGAAAGGACAAGAATGTGGTGGGGAGTGGTGTGTAAGAAAAACAAAGGTGCCAAAAATGACTCCTAGATTCCTGGTTTAAGCATTTCCGATGGAAAAAACTAAGGGGAGAAATAGTTTTGCAGATAATAATTTCAGTTTGGACATGTGAAGTATGAACTCCCTATAAAATACAAATTTGGGGATTCTCAGCACATAAATGATATTTAAATCCTTGGGAACAAATGCTATCATCCAGAAAACACAGAAGAGAGATGAAGAAACAGGCCCAAGCCCTGAGGAACTCAAACATGCAGTGACCGGGAAAAGAGGTTGGCAAAAAGTATATGCAAAGGTAAGAGGAAAACAAGGATTATGAGATTACAGAAGCCAACAGGCTGGGATCCAAGAAAGAGGATAAATTACGTGGATAACTCTGGTAAGAGATGCAGTAAGATGTGGTCTGAATATCCACTGGTTTGGCAACCCACCATTATGGATGACCTTGGCAGAGCAGTTTCAGGGAACTGGAATAAAGGATTAAGTCAAAGAGGGCTGAAGGGTGACTGACTATACACCAACCAGCCTGTATGCAACTTAGCAAACTTCCCAACTATCACCAAGATGCAGGTAAATCACCTCATCTCTCTCCTGCTCTACCGTAACAGCCTCCAACTGCTTTTCCTGCTTCAATCCTTACCCTCCTACAACCCATTCTCAGCACAGCGGCCAGAAAGATCCTAGAAGGGAAGTCATACCATATATCACCACTCCTCTGCTCAGTGATCTCATCTCATTCAGAACAAAGGTCAAAAACAAAGTATCCCTAATAGTCTAGAAGGTCACCATCTTACCTCTGAACACTCCTGTTCATGGAATACAGCAAGCACACTTTTGCGTCAGGGCTTCTGCACTTAAAACAGCTTGATGCCTA
This sequence comes from Homo sapiens, assembly GCF_000001405.40. Classification (NCBI taxonomy): domain Eukaryota; kingdom Metazoa; phylum Chordata; class Mammalia; order Primates; family Hominidae; genus Homo; species Homo sapiens. The sequence continues at coordinate 36,462,613 of NC_000009.12, forward strand.
ACTTCCTTCGAATTTCTGCTCAAATGTCACTGCACCAATGATGCTTTCTCTGACCAACTGATTGATTTTTTTTTTTTTTTGAGACAGAGTCCTGCTCTGTCGCCCAGGCTGGAGATCAGTGGCATGATCTCAGCTCACCACAACTTCCGCCTCCCAGGTTTAAGTGATTGTCGTGCCTCAGCCTCCCGAGTAGCTAGGACTACAGGCGGGCACCACCACACCTGGCTAATATTTGTATTTTTAGTAGACACGGAGTTTCACCATGTTGGCCAGGCTGGTCTCCAACTCCTGACCTCAGGTGATCTGCCTGCCTCAGTCTCCCCTGCTGGGATTACAGGTGTGAGCCACTGTACCCCGCCCTGATTTACTTTTTTTTTTTTTAAGTGAAAACAAGCTTATTAAGCAAGTGAAGGAATAAAGAATGGCTACTCCATAGGCAGAGCAGCCTGGTCAAGTGATTTAAATAGCACCTGCTTTCATTCTTTGCTTATCTTGGCCTACCCTGATCTGTTTTTCTTCTTACCACTTATCATCCTTATGGCATATTTATGCTTACTGTCTGTCTCACATCATGAGGATGTAAGCTTCATAAGAGTAGAGGTTTTACCTGCTTTTGTTCACTACTGTGTAGCCAGTATGTAGGCCTGGTACACAGTAGACACTCATTTGTTTCTTGCATGTAAGTCAGGAGAAAGGCCCCGCACATTATGAAGTAATAAACTGGCACTTTCAGTTTGATACAAGCCTTCTGTTATTTAGATAATATGAGTCTGATCACTCACAGGAATGCAGGAAAGTCTCATTTCTGGATCCATGAAATAGAATACTAGTTCTTCAATGATCTAAACGTAGGCCTTGAAAAACTCACAATTATGCCATTCTGCTGGGTGTCTCCTTGTAAATTCAAGAGCATTTCCATTCAATTTTCAATATGAACTGTTTACCTTTTGGGTAAAGCAAGGTACACTAGAAAAAAAAAATCATTTGTAATAATGCAAAGACGTGGTCACGAAGGGGGCAATGGTACTGATGAATCACACAAATACAAAGATATGTACATATTACATTTGAACAAAGGCAAGTATGTATGGTGCACTGGGATTAGGTAATTCTTCCAAATAATTGAACCATGCTTTCCAGTCTGTCTATTTAATTTCCCTAATCATCTCTCTAATCACCAAGAAGAGACTAAGCTATTTTTCTCTGCAAACTCCCTAGCTCACACTTACTCTTTTGTCCTCAGAAAAATAAGTGACCAAAAACTATTATCTTAGGCCAGGTGCGGTGGCTCACGCCTGTAATCCCAGCACTTTGGGAGGCCGAGGCGGGCGGATCACGAGGTCAGGAGATAGAGACCATCCTGGCTAACATGGTGAAACCCTGTCTCTACTAAAAATACAAAAAATTAGCCGGGCGTGGTGGCAGGCACCTGTACTCCCAGGTACTCAGGTTGAGGCAGGAGAATGGCGTGAACCCGGGAGGTGGAGATTGCAGTGAGCCTAGATCACGACACTGCACTCCAGCCTGGGCGACAGAGCAAGACTCTGTCTCAAAAAACAAACAAACAAACAAAAAACCACACAAAAAAAATTATCTTCTAATTTCTGACAAGATCAAAGCTCTGCATTATGTAGATGAAATGCAAGCCTTAATTATAATTTGAAATCATATTTAGGCCGGGCGCAGTGGCTCACGCCTGTAATCCCAGCACTTTAGGAGGCCAAGGCAGGCGGATCACAAGGTCAGGAGTTCGAGACCAGCCTGGCCAATATGGTGAAACTCTGTCACTACTAAAAATACAAAAAAAAATTAGCCAGGTGTGGTGGCGCACACCTGTAATCCCAGCTACTCAGGAGGCTGAGGCAGGAGAATTGCTTGAACCTGGGAGGCGGAGGTTGTGGTAAGCTGAGATCGCGCCACTGTACTCCAGCCTGGGTGACAGAGTGAGACTCCGTCTCAAAAAAAAAAAAAAATCATATTTGTATCAGATTATCAGTCATATATATCTACTCATGTAACCCTAAACAAACTGTGAAAACACAAATCCTGGAAACTGCAATATTCACCCAATAAATTAATATACATACACTGTATAGCTAAGAATGGAAGGAAATGGCAAAACAAGTTAAAATACAGATAAATCTAAATAACTGTGATCAATCTGGCTACATAATTGTGTGGAACATTTTTAAAAATCATTTCCAAAAATATGTAATATATAAAGATAACATAAAATTCCAGATTTGCAAAGAAAAAAGTAAAGAAAGCAAATGTACTAAAATGCTTGTTTTACAATTATGAGGACTCAAAAAGATACTATTTAGTGCTCTGCCTCTGACAGAGAATTTTAAAAGCCTTCTTAAAATCTGCATGGACCAATAACACAAAAAGATACTTAACATCATTAGCCATGGGGGGAATGCAAATCAAAACTAGAAGGAGATACCACTTCCCACCCACTAGGAGGGCTATAATCAAAAAGACAGATAACAGAGAACAAGTGTTGGCAACAATGTGGAGAAATTAGAACCCTCGTACACTGCTGGTGGGAATATAAAATGGTGTAACAACCTTAAAAAACAGCACGGCAGTTCCTCAAAAGGTTAAGCTTAGAGTTCCATTTGACCCAGTAATTCTACTCCTACATAGGGGTGGGTTCGTGTTTACACAAGAGAAATAAAAATATATGTCCATGTAAAAACTTGTACACAAGTGTTCATAGCAGCATTCTTTTTTTCTTTTTTTTCTTTCAAGATGGAGTTTCGCTCTTGTTGCCCAGGCTGGAGTGCAATGGCACAATCTCGGCTCACTGCAACTTCCACTACCCAGGTTCAAGCGATTCTCCTGCCTTAGCCTCCCGACTAACTGGGATTACAGGCATACGCCACCACGCCTGGCTGATTTTATATTTTTATAGAGACAGGGTTTCTCCATGTTGGTCAGGCTGGTCTCGAACTCCTGACCTCAGGTGATCCGCCTGCCTTGGCGTCCCAAAGTGCTGAGATTACAGGCATCAGCCACTATACCCGGCCCATAGCAGCATTATTCATAATCATCCAAAATAGGATGCAATCCATATGTGCATTAACTGATGAATGGGTAAAGTATGATACACCTATACAACTAATATTTACCTACAAAAAGTAACAAAGTGCTGGCCGGGCGCGGTGGCTCACGCCTGTAATCCCAGCACTTTGGGAGGCCGAGGCGGGTGGATCACGAGGTCAGGAGATCGGGACCATCCTGGCTAACACGGTGAAACCCCGTCTCTACTAAAAATACAAAAAAAATTAGCCGGGCATGGTGGCAGGCACCTGTAGTCCCAGCTACTCAGGAGGCTGAGGCAGGAGAATGGTGTGAACCCAGGAGGCGGAGCTTGCAGTGAGCCGAGATCGGGCCACTGCACTTGAGCCTGGGCAACAGTGCGAGACTCTGTCTCGTGAAAAAGTAAAAAAAAGTAACAAAGTGCTGATACATGTCACAACATAGATGAACCTGAAAATACTATCTATTCTAAGTGGAAGAAGCCAGTACTGTTCATAAAAGTGCAAATTGTATGATTCCATTTATATAAAAGGTCCAGAACAGGCTAATCTACAGAGACAGAAAGTAGATAGCTGTTGCCTAGGACTGAGATGGGAGGAAATGGAGAGTGACTGCCAATGAGTGGAGGATTTCTTTTCAGGGAGATGAAAATGCTCTGGTATTAGATAGTGGTACTGGTTACACAACTGTGAATACACCAAAACCCACTTAATTGTATACTTTATTTGGGTAAATTGTATATGTAAATTTATATTTCGATAAAGCTGTTAAGAATGAGGTAGCAGGCACAATGGGAGGCTCATAAAGCGTAGTTTTAGTATTTTATTTCTTGACCTGCTTGGTAGTTACACACGTGGGTTCACACTATGATGATTCATTGAGCTGCAAACTTACAAGATATGAATGTTTCTATACGTATTTCGTATGTCAAACAAATGTTTCAAAAAATAAATTTATAAATACTGACTTGGAAAGAGACCCAACATTATTATAAAGTGGGAAAAAAGCAAGTTTCAGAACAATATATATACTATGGTCCCACTTTTTGTAAATTTATACACAACACTACATGAATATACACATATCCAATCCTCACTGACCTCTGCAGGATTCAAATAAAGGAACTTTTATTTTCTCTAATATACATTTCTATAACATTTTAAATTTTGCCATGTATATTTTTGTAATCAGAAGACAATAATGTCTACTTATAAAAAAATTTGAAAAGGCATAAAGACAGCCAGTTGCGGTGGCTCACACCTGTAATCACAGCACTTTGGGAGGCTGAGGCAGGCAGTTTCACCTAAGGTTAGGAGTTTGAGACCAGCCTGGTCAACATGGCGAAACCCCGTCTCTACTAAAAATACAAAAATTAGCCAGGCGTGGTGGCACGCGCCTGTAATCCCTGCTACTCAGGAGGCTGAGGCAGGAGAATCATTTGAACCCAGGAGGTGGAGGTTGCAGTGAGCCGAGATCACACAATTGCACTGCAGCCTGGGCGACACAGCGAGACTCCGTCTCAAAAAAAAAAACAACTGCAACTAATCTGATTGCTATTACATATATATATATATAATATATATATATACACACACACACACATATACACACACATACATATATGGGTAACAGTAATAGTGAAATTATCTTTTCCAACTATTTAAAATTATGAAAAAAATTAGATGTCTACTTAAAATTTTTCAAGATTTTCAGAGTATATATTCAAAATACTTTGAATATCACTAATTAAGGAGAGTAATTATGCAGCAAGAGAAAACAGCCCAGTGCAAGGAGGCTGCAGCTCTGAGCTATGGGGCCTGAGAGAAGAGCCTAGCCCTCTGTGGGCCTGTTTCCTCAATATGACAATAAGGAGGTCAGATTATGATTCTGCTGCTCTCTGCTTCAAGAGTCACTAACTGGGTGGGTCAGGCCATTTGGGATATAACATCACTACCAATAATAACACCATTAGCAGCAATAATAAAACCCACTATAGCTTTTTCAACAATTAATGTACACTTCCATGCATCATCTCTATACACAAATGCCTGCGCCTCTCACACAGGTAATTTGTGGACACACACCAAAATGGTACCTGTTACCACCTCTGGGATTATAGTGGGGAGAGGAATAAGAATGGAGGGTCCATCAGTCAGGTCCCAAAAGTAAAGAGATGGCAAATACAAATCAGAATAATCTGAGAAGGGTTTGTTTATAAAAGAAATAATTACAAAGTAGGGGAATAGAGGCTACAGAAACCATGGGGATGGAACAGAAATCAGGACTAGTAAAGGCAGAACAAGGCTGAGCAACAGTGGCTCACACCTGTAATCCCAGCACTTTGGGATGCCAAGGTGGGAAGACTGAGTGAGCTCAGGAGTTCAAGACTAGTCTAGGAAACACAGCAAGATTCCACCTCTACAAAAAATGTTTAGAAACTAGCCAGTTGTGGTGGCGCACGCCTGTTGTCCCTACTCAAGAGGCTGAGGTGGGAAGACTGCTTGGGCCCAGAAGCTCAAGGCTGCAGTGGGCCATGATCGCACCACTGTACTCCAGCCTGCTGGGCAGAGCAATGTTCTGTCTTAAAAAAAAAAAAAAAAAGGCAGAACAAGTATTGCTTCTAGAAGTGCCAAAGAAGATAGGAGACAGAGATTACCAGAACGCAGAATCCAGGTATATAATACATGCTACCCTGAGAGGTGAAGGGATAAATATTCTGACCTCCTTCTCTGGCCCTTCAATCCAGAGGGCCTAAGAGTTCTTTATCTGGGGCAAAGAGCCAGGTAGAAAAGAGTAGAGGATGGATCTGGAGAGGTAAAGAAAAGATATCCAGCCCAGATTTCTTTTAACTTTTTATAAAATTAAATACATGAGCCTGGCGTGGTGGCTCACGCCTATAATCTCAGCACTTTGGGAGGCCGAGGCAGGTGGATCACTTGAGGTTAGGAGTTTGACACCAGCCTGACCAACATAGGGAAACCCCGTCTCTATTAAAAATACAAAAATTAGCCAGGTGTGGTGGCGGGTGCCTGTAATCCCAGCTACTCGGGAGGCCGAGGCATGAGAATTGCTTGAACCTGGGAGGCAGAGGTTGCAGTGAGCCGAGATCATGCCACTGCACTCCAGCCTGAGCAACAAGAGCAAAACTCTGTCTCAAAAAATAAAAAAAAATTAGGCCAGGCACAGTGGTTCACACCTGTAATCCCAACACTTTGGGAGGCTGAGGCGGGTGGATCACAAGGTCAGGAGTTCAAGACCAGCCTGACCAATACGGTGAAACCCTGTCTCTATTAAAAATACAAAAATTAGCTGGGCATGGTGGCAGGTGCCTGTAGTCCCAGCTACTCAGGAGGCTGAGGCAGAAGAATTGCTTGAACCCAGGAGGCGGAGCTTGCAGTGAGCTGAGATCGCACCACTGGACTCTGGCCTGGGCGACAGAGCAAGAGTCCATCTCAAAAAAGTAAAACCTTACACAGAAACCTGAAGTCCCACCCTCCATAATCCTGGATCCTTCTCTCCAGAAGTAATCATCTTTGTTATCAGTTAGGTGGGGTTTACTGTTGGCCCTTTCTATATAGAGAGAGAGACATATCACAGTAAAATACAGAGAAGTGTTTTATGGAGTGCTATTCATTTAACATGAATGGTATTACTCTACTACTTTGTTCAATCTTTTTTTTCCCCCACTATTTTCAGTTCAGTTAGAAAATAATGTTCAAGGGCCAGGCACAGTGGCTCACACCTATAATCCCAGCACTTTGGGAGGCTGAGGTGGGCGAATCACCTGAGGTCGGGAGTTTGAGACCAGCCTGACCAACATGGAGAAACCCCATCTCTACTAAAAATACAAAAAATTAGCCAGGCGTGGTGGCATATGCCTGCAATCCCAGCTACTCGGGAGGCTGAGGCAGGAGAATTGCTTGAACCCGGGAGGTGGAGGTTGTGGTGAGCCAAGATGGCGCCATTGCACTCCAGCCTGGGCAACAAGAGCAAAACTCCATCTCAATAAAAAATAAAAAATATATATAATGTTCAAAGCCTGGTGCGGTGGCTCACACCTGTAATCTCAGCACTTTGGGAGGCCAAGGCAGGTGGATCACTTGAGCCCAGGAGTTTGAGACCAGCCTGGCCAACATGGCGAAAACCCGTCTCTACTACAAAATACAAAAAATTAGCCGGGAGTAGTGGCACCCACCTGTAGTCCCAGCTACTTGGGAGGCTGTGGAGGGAGGGTCACTGGAGCCTGGGGAGATCGAGACTGCAGTGAGCCAGGATCATGCCACTGCACTCTAGCCTGAGTGACAGAGTGAAACCCTGTCTCAAAACAAAAACAAAGAAAAAGGAAATAATGCTCAAGAAGCCAGGATGAGATGGATGGGCTTGATTCTCCTCGGTTGTTTCTACTCCACCACAGTGGCTCTCAGAACACACCCTGCCCTTCATGTGCATTAGCATCACCTAGGAACCTGTTTAAAATGAAATCTGCAGGCCCCACCCAGTGAGGTGAATCAAAAGCACTGGTGGGGGTGTCCAGCTTTTAAAGTCTAAGAACCACTACTCTACCTCCTGGTACTCAAAACTTTCTTCACCATCACCTGATGCCTTGCCAGAAATCGGCATTTTAACAAGATCCCCCTGGTCTACCTCAGGGCCACAAACCATAAGCCCCAATCCATAATGCTTCGCACCCATCCACACAGTGTCTGAGTGGTTTCTGGGAATGGGAAGTAGGGGAGGCCCACTGAAAGAGCAGTGGTTTTTCTCTCTTTGAATATGAATCTATCACTTACCAATCCTGTGGGAAAAACAGCACTGCATGCCCTAGTTAGACAAGAGTATGTTGTGTGTGTGACAGAAAGCACACAACTACCATTAAACTGCCATGGAAATTTATTCCGCTTAGATGTCACTGTTATGTTATAAGCTATTTTTCTTTTAAAATAAGGGAATTTCAATTTTAACCCCAGGCATAATAAAATTAACAAGATTGTCTAACCTTTGTTTGTATTGCTAATATTGTAGCAGGAATCTGTCACCTTAAAACAAACCAACCAAGGGGATATACCTTACCTTCTCTGCTCGAACAAGGACACCTTCACCAACATCTAGCCCCCACTTCCATGCAGCAGCCCCCATCTCCATACAGCATGGAGGAAGGAAAACTATTTCCAGTATTCCACCTTTAACTTCCTGCTGCCTCCCTCAAAGACTCATAGATTTTATTTCAAAATCTGAACCCGAAGGCCCCTAACTCCATCTCTCCCTTTGCTTCTCTCTCATTTTCCTCCACTGAGACTTCTCTGGTCTGTGGTACTGCAAACATGTCGGCTCTTCCAGCAAATCTACAGGTGAACTACGTACATATTTATGCCTAAGAATTGTACTGTCTCACTGCTCATTCCAGCTTGACTCAGCCTAACACAACGATGTGCTTTTTTAAGGCACTTCCAGTTTCACTTCTAGCTCCTACCAGGCTTCCGCCCCGCCCCAATGCAACATAGCCCCCTCAGTTTCCCAGACCCAGGAAGTAGCAAGGTCAATTCTGTGAGGCCCATATCCAATTTGACTTGCCTCTCTCTTCTTAAAGCAATCTTGGAATTAAAATTTCTAAAGCCCCCTTTCAATTTAATAACTTTTCTTCCATAGAAACAAGAGGTTTTAATCAAGCCTTAAAAATAAATTTGAGCCTTGTGTTTTTAATCACATAGCATTGGGAAAAATAATATAACTATTCTACCAAATTTCAAAAGGAAACATGTTTACATCTCAAATGTGCTACAAAAAGATCCTGGTATGGTAAAACTAGTTTGATTTCGACTCCCACCCCAACCTTTTTTAAACTTCTCCAACACAGTTCCAGAATAACTTGTCAAAATCACTTCTGAAGCGGTAATCCCAGCTACTCCAGAGACTGAAGTGATCGCCTGAGCCCAGGAGTTCCAGGCCAGCCTGGGCAAAATAGTGACTCTTATCTCAAAATAACAAAACAAAACTCACCCTGTCAATTAGACTCAAAAGATGTATAGTACTAACTAAACATTCCAGAGTCAAATTGTAACTTCAGTTTTTATCTCAACACAGAATTTATGAGTTGCACATAAATTTACTTTACTTCTTTTTAGAAATGGAGTCTTGCTATGTTGCCTGGGATGGTCTCAAACATCTGGCCTCAAGTCATCCTCCCACCTCAGCCTCCCAAGTAGCTGGGATTACAGGTGAGCCACCGCATCCAATTTACAAATTCACTTTAAAAAGTCAAATCTTTTCACTTCTTGCTTTGCTTCTTGGATTTGTTTGGGGAAGAGGAATGTTTCTTTTTTTTAGCAAATAATGGTAGCTTTTACTTGAAGCTTTAAAATATCAATTTTAAAAAAACAATTTTAAAATAACAATTTGTTTTCAACTATATATGCAGTTTTAATAAAAATATTAGATAATTCGATTACAAGAGTTCTTGACTTACATTCCTGCCATTAGCAAAGACAGTCAACAATGTCTTAAGAGCCACCAAACATATCAATCTCTAGATATGGTCTAAACCTAAGGTTATTTTAAAAACTAAGAACAGTGAGTGTGTAGAAACTCTTCAATTATCTGGATTAATCAGCTTTTATCCTGCCTGTATAGAATCAATGTCTTCCTCCTATGAATTCCACAGTTTAGTAATTATGAAAGGCAGAGAATTCATTTTTCCTTCCTAGGTATCCATAAACCAAGCTTCTCTAACCCATAGCCCAGGATGGCTTTCAATGCAGCCCAACACAAATTCATAAATTTCTTCAAGTGTATTTCATGTGTGGTCCAAGACAATTCTTTCAACATGGCCCAGAGAAGACAAAAGATTGGACATCCCTGGCCAGCAGTTAGCAGCACTCAAAGAAAAAACAGGCCTTATTCCAAAAGTTCATATAATCTGGCTTTGACCTTAGAAGCCCATTTTGCCATAGATCATTTTCTAAATGGTACGTTCCCAGGATGGCCCACCAATACCTATTAAGCCCACAATACAGATGAGATACTGAACTACCAAGCCCAGCCAAGAAGTTTTTCTTCATCTGTTTAAGTGCCCAAACAAGCACTCAGTTAAGATCTAATGTTGAGAATCACAGAGCATGGGATCTTTTCTAAGAAGTAACTTAAATATGCCTGATTTATAGAGAATCCAGGGCTGGGTACGGTGGCTCATATCTGTAATCCCAGCACTCTGAGAGACCGAGGTGGGTGGATCACCTGAGGTCAGGAGGTGGGTGGATCACCTGAGGTCAGGAGTTCAGGACCAGCCTGGCCAAGATGCTAAAACTCTGTCTCTACTAATAATACAAAAATTAGCCAGGCGTAGTGGCACATGCCTTTAATCCCAGCTACTCGGGAGGCTGAGGCAGGAGAATCACTTGAACCCAGGAGGCGGAAGCTGCAGTGAGCCAAGATCACGCCATTGCACTCCAGCCTGGGTGACAAGCGCGAAACTCCATCTCCAAAAAATAAATAAACACAATAAATAAAAAAATAAAGAGAATCCAGTGCTGGGCACAGTTGGGGGTGCCTATAGTTCCAGCTACTCAGGAGGCTGAGGCAGGAGGATCACTTGAACCCAGGAGTTCAAGTCCAGCCTGGACAACATAGTGAGACCCCATTTGTAAAAATAAATAGCTGGGCGTGGCAGCTCATGCCTATAATCCCAACACTTTGGGAGGCCAAGGCAGGCGGATCACCTGAGGTCAGGAGTTCAAGACCAGCCTGGCTAACATGGTAAAATCTCGTTTCTACTAAAATACAAAAAATTAGCCAGGCATGGTGGTGCGCACCTGTAATCCCAGCTACTTGGGAGGCTGAGGCAGGAGAATTGCTTGAACCTGAGAGGTGGAGGTTGCAGTGAGCCAAGATTGCACCACTGCACACCAGCTCGGGCAACAAGAGCGAAACTCCGTCTCAAAAAAGATATTAAATAAATAAATAAATAAGTGTACCACTCTGATGTACCACTCTGATGCAGGTACTCCTACTCCTGATGTGACCAAGTAATGAATGATTTAAAAACTCAATTTTTGTCCAGGCGCGGTGGCTCACACCTATAATCCCAGCACTTTGGGAGGCTGAGGCAGGTGGATCACAAGGTCAGGAGTTCAAGACCAGCCTGGCCAAGATGGTGAAACCCCGTCTCTACTAAAAATACAAAAAAATTAGCCGGGCGTGGTGGCAGGCACCTGTAATCCCAGCTACTCAGGAGGCTGAGGCAGAGAATTGCTTGAACCTGGGAGGCGGACGTTGCAGCGAGCTGAGATCATGCCACTGCACTCCAGCCTGGGCAATAGAGCAAGACTCCATCTCGGGAAAAAAAAAAAAAAAAACCCTCAATTTTTAAAACCCTAGCACAGACCGGGCGCGGTGGCTCACACCTCTAATCCCAGCACTTTGGGAGGCCAAGGCGGGCGGATCACGAGGTCAGGAGATTGAGACCATCCTGGCTAACACGGTGAAACCCCATCTCTACTACAAATACAAAAAATTAGCCGGGCGTGGTGGCGGGCGCCTGTAGTCCCAGCTACTCGGGAGGCTAAGGCAGGAGAATGGCGAGAACCTGGGAGGCGGAGCTTGCAGTGAGCCAAGATCACGCCACTGCACTCCAGCCTGGGCGACAGAGCAAGACTCCGTCTCAAAAAAAAGAAACCCTAGCATAGTAATTCAGAACTTAAAAAACAAAGTTATTTCTCAGGAGAGACAAAGGCAAAACAAAAGACTGCAAATTCTCTTCATCAGCTAAAATAGTGATCAACTTTGCTTATATTCAGTCTTTTGTTATCAAAACTACTTGCTGTGTTTTCGGAGGCTATCTGTAAAGTAAGATGCAGTAAAGCATGACGGCTAAAAATACAGATTCTGGAATTAGACTACCTGGGTTCATATCCCAGGTAACACTCCTAATAGCTGTATCATCTCCAGCGAGTTGTTTAACCTGTGTGCTCCAGTTTCATCTGTACAATAAGTATAATATGAGTCCCTTAGGGGACTGCAGTGAGGATTAAATGAATTAATCCACATAAAATACTTAGAATAGAACCTTAAATAATAAGCACACAATAAGTGACCACTATTATCTAGATATTTAAAAATAGGTAGAATTTAGAAAAGGAACTGAAGGGAAAAGAGGCATTATAGGCTGAAGTAACAATCAAAGGAACAGAGGTAGAAAAATCACACACAGGGCCGGGCGCGGTGCCTCACGCCTGTAATCCCAGCACTTTGGGAGGCCGAGGCAGGCGGATCACCTGAGGTCGGGAGTTCAAAACCAGCCTGGCCAACATGGTGAAACCCCATGTCTACTAAAAATAAAAAAATTAGCTGGGCATGGTTGTGTGCACTTGTCGTCCGAGCTACCCACTCAGGAGGCTAAGGCAGGAGAATTGCTTGAACCCAGGAGGTGGAGGTTGCAGTGAGCAGAGAGAGCACCATTTCACTCCAGCCTGGGCAATAGAGTGAGACTCTGCCTCAAAAAAAAAAAAAAAAAAATCTTATTACTATTAATGCAATTGTGATGTTTTTGCAATCCCAAAAATGCATTTGTTCTGCTAACACTGTCATGATCTATCATTGAACTGATGCATATCTGAATTATCTCTGAAATCCTCACTGTGTCTAGTACATAGTAAGCATTCAACAAATGTTTACCAAATTATTATTAATATTAGTAATTATTAATCATTATCTTTTTGTGTGTGTGTAAGACAGAGTCTCCCTCTGTCACCCAGGCTGGAGTGGAGTGGCATCATCTCAGCTCCTGCAACCTCCATCTCCTGGGTTCAAGCAATTCTCCTGCCTCAGCCTCCCAAGGAGCTGGGATTACAGGCGCCCACCACCACACCTGGCTAAGTTTTTGTATTTTTAGTAGAGGCAGGTTTTCACCATGTTGGCCAGGCTGGTCTCGAACTCCTGACCTCAGATGATCCGCCACCTTGGCCTCCCAAAGTGCCGGGATTACAGGCGTGAGCCACCATGACCGGCCTCAAATCATTATTTTTTAGTGGCCAACAGAGAGCAGTAAAATAGAGACAGGGGTTAATTCCCTAAAGAAATATAAACTAGCCGGGTGCGGTGGCTCACGCCTGTAATCCCAGCACTTTGGGAGGCCGAGGCAGGCGGATCACACGGTCAGGAGTTCGAGACCAACCTGGCCAATATGGGGAAAGCCCATCTCTACTAAAAATACAAAAATTAGCTAGGCATGGTGGCTGTAGTCCCAGCTACTCTGGAGGCTGAAGCAGGACAATTGCTTGAACCCAGGAGGTGGAAGTTGCAGTAGGCCGAGATAATGCCACTGTACTCCAGCCTGGGTGACAGAGCGGGACTCTGTTTCCAAAAAAAAAAAAAAAAAGAAAGAAATATAAATTATAAATGAGGCAAATAACCTAGATAATAGTTTACAATTAAGCTAAAATAAGTCATTGCTAATCAACATACTTAACTAAAACAGGTTTTTGTTTTGTTTTTGAGACTGAGTCTCGCTCAGCCACCCAGGCTAGAGTGCAGTGGCGTGATCTCGACTCACTGCAACCATGGTCTCCCGGGTTCAAATGAGTCTCCCGTCTCCCCCATAACTAGGATTACAGGCACCCGCCATCATGCCTGGCTAATTTTTGTATTTTAGTAGAGACGGGGTTTCCCCTTGGCCAAGCTGGTCTTGAACTGACCTCAGGTGATCCGCCCGCCTCAGCCTCCCAAAGTGCTAGGATTATAGGCATGAGCCACCCCACCCAGCCAAACCTTGTGTATTTTATTAAAGTCTCATAAAATGTAGCTGTCAAATTGGTACAGCCTTTTCAAAGGATTATTTGGGCAATATCTTTTTAATGGACTATCGGGCAATCTTTTTTTTTTTTTTTTTTTTTGAGATGGAGTTTAGCTCTTGTTGCCCAGGCTGGAGCGCGATGGCATGGTCTTGGCTCACTGCAACCTCCGCCTCCTGGGTTCCAGTGATTCTCCTGCCTCAGCCTCCCAAGTAGCTGGGATTACAGGCGCCCACCACCATGCCCGGCTAACTTTTTTTTGTATTTTTAGTAGAAACCGGATTTCACCATGTTGGCCAGGCTGGTCTCGAACTCCTGACCTCAGGTGATCCACCCACTCTGGCCTCCCAAAGTCCTGGGATTATAGCTGTTTCCTAATCCAGGACAAAATTATGCTGGCGGGTAAGAATAAAGGTCTAACTCCTAACTTGACTCCAAGTAATTAGAGGAAAGGACAGCTTACAGTAGCCATAGGTTTCCATGGAGTACACACTATCTACCTGTACACCATAGACGTAAATGCTAATTACAGCAACAAAAAGGGCCACCCTTATCCTGAGAATGGACTCCTGAAGTTTACAGTCTTAAAGTCTAAAGATTATTGGCCAGGCGCGATGGATCACGCCTGTAATCCCAGCACTTTGGGGGGCTGAGGCAGGTGGATCACAAGGTCAGGAGTTCAAGACCAGCCTGGTCAAGATGGTGAAACCCCATCTCTACTAAAAATACAAAAAAATTAGCCGGGCGTGGTGGTGGGCGCCTGTAATTCCAGCCACTCGGGAGGCTGAGGCAGAGAACTGCTTGAACCTGGGAGGCAGAGGTTGCAGTGAGCCAAGATCACACCACTGCACTCCAGCCTGGGTGACAGAGCAAGACTCGTCTGGAAAAAAAAAAAAAAAGATTACCTTGCAATCAACTCTTTGGTGCATTTCTTACAAAATACAACAACAAAACAGGCTGGGCATGGTCACTCATGCCTATAATCCCAGCACTTTAGGAGGCCAAGGTGGGAGGATCACTTGAGCCCAGGAGTTCGAGACCAGCCTAGGCAACATTGTGAAACCTCCATGTCACAAAAAAGTTTAAAAGGTTAGTGTAGTTGGCCGGGTACTGTGGCTCACACCTGTAATCCCAACACTTTGGGAGGCTGAGGCAGGCGGATCACGAGGTCAGGAGATCGAGACCAACCTGGCTAACATGGTGAAACCCCCATCCCTACTAAAAAATACAAAAAATTAGCCGGGCGTGGTGGGGGGCGCCTGTAGTCCCAGCTACAGGGAGGCTGAGGCAGGAGAATGGCGTGAACCTGGGAGGTGGAGCTTGCAGTGAGCTGAGATCGCACCACCGCACTCCAGCCTGGGCGACAGAGGGAGACTCTGTCTCAAAAAAAAAAAAAAAGAAAGAAAAAAGGATAGCGTAGTTGTCACACTCATTGTCCCAGCTACTCAGGAGGCTGAGGTGGAAGGACTGCTTGAGCCTGGGAGATGGAAGCTGCAGTGAGCTATGATTACCACTGCCACTGCACTCCAGAGTGGGCAACAAAGCAAGACCTTGTCTCAAAAAACAAAAAACAAACAAACAGAAAACAGCAGTTTGAGATACCAAGTAATACAGTAATAATTAACATATTAAGAAGAAAATTTTCACTAAAAGATTGCCAACAAGACTTCTTAGAAGCACATCATGACGTAGAATGGTTGATATAAGTGTTTATTACCAGGCGTGGTAGCTCACGCCTGTAATCCCAGCACTTTGGGAGGCTGAGACCATTCTGGCTAACATGGTGAAACCCCATCTCTACTAAAAATACAAAAAATTACCCGGGCGTGGTAGCGGGCATCTGTAGTCCCAGCTACTCGGGAGGCTGAGGCAGGAGAATGGCGTGAACCTGGGAGGCGGAGCTTGCAGTGAGCCGAGATCACGCCACTGCACTCCAGCCTGGGGGAGAGAGCGAGACTCCGTCTCAAAAAAAAAAAAAAAAAAAAGAGAGCGTTTATTAAGCATACATCCCCAGATAAACTGATTTTTTTTCTGGTAGCAATAGGGAGAAATCACTTCGCAAAAATGTAAGTATTTAAAAAAAAAAAAAAAAAGATTGGCCGGGCACGGTGGCTCATACTTGTAATCCCAGCACTCTGGGAGGCCGAGGAGGGTAGATCATCTGAGGTCAGGAGTTCGAGACCAGCCTGACCAACATGAAGAAACCCCGTCGCTACTAAAAATACAAAATTAGCCAGGCGTGGTGGCTCATGCCTGTAATTCCAGCTACTCGGGAGGCTAAGGCAGGAGAATGGCTTGAACCCAGAAGGCGGAGGTTGCGGTGAGCCGAGATGGCGCCACTGCACTCCAGCCTGGGCAACAAGAGTGAAACGCTGTCTCAAAAAAAAAAAAAAAAAAAAGATTAGTGGGCGCATCCCTGGGAGAGTAAGCAAGTTATGTATTCGGCTTTTGTGGGCAATCAATCATTCTGGTAACACAAACATAAGGCAAAGTAGACCCAGATTTCTATATATTTTCCTCTAAAGTACTTTTAAGTTACAATTTCAGACTTAAAGAGAAAGGTTCCAAGCTCAGTCTTGTCCTTTTTTAAAGCTGCAAGTATTATAATTTAAAACTCTGAAATGTATTCACTTAAACACGTTCCTGTCACTATTAACAACAACGCTCCATTATCCACTTTTGGTACTGTCTCCAGATGATTTTTAATCCCTGCCTGACTTCTCCCTACCAACAAGTACTTGGATACCATCTTTACCCCGCCTGCCCCCACTACTTGGTTGTGCCTAGGGAATTATAATTACAGCAATCCCGCCTTTAGAACATCCTCAGAGCACAAAGCTTCTTTGTATAATGGTGGAGGGAGGGTGCCCTCCAGGCTCCACAGAAAAGAGTGGGTGGTAGCAACAGAGGAAGAGGAACTGGAGCCACTATGGTGGCCCTCAGTTCTAGTTCAATATCGTTTGTGGGAATTTACTTGTAATGACCAGCCAGGGTTCTGTTGAGCTTCTGCATCTCCTCCCATGTGGGGGTGGAGAGAAGCAGGGCTTATCTTGGCAGATGGGCACAATCACCATGCCCAGAAGACCAGGGAGCAGAAGGAAGCAAGAAATTTGGGAGAAAAGCAAGCAATAACTGTCTTGAATTGCACCCCTCTATGCGATTCTCAAGACCTTAAGTGAGGAAGTTTTGACAACAAAAGCTATCATCCTAATTAACCAGTGGTTGGTATTGGCATTACTGGCACTCAGTAGATGCTCAAAGATGTATTGAGGTGGCAATAAAAATCTACATAGGAAGACAAATCTATAAAAAAAAAAGTTTTAATAAGATAGCACAAAAGCCAAATGAAAAATACTTTTTATTAATTATGAGTCCCAGCCGGGCATAGTGGCTCATTCCTGTAGTAATCCTAGCACTTAGGGAAGTCAAGGCAGGAGGATTACTTGAGCTCAGGAGTTCAAGACCACCATGGGCAACATAGCAAGACCCTGTCTCTTTAAGTATGAGTTCCAACTTTTCTCTATCTGTAAATGTGAATTTTTATTTTTTTATTTTTTTGAGATGGAGTCTCACTCTGTCGCCCAGGCTGGAGTGCAGTGGCGTGATTTCGGCTTACTGCAAGCTACACCTCCCAGGTTCAAGTGATTCTCCTGTCTCAGCCTCCCGAGTAGCTGGGCCTACAGGTTCACACCACCACACCCAGCTAAGTTTTGTATTTTTAGTAGAGACAGAGTTTCACCATGTTGCTCAGGCTGGTCTCAAACTCTTGAGCTCAAGTGATCCACCTACCTCAGCCTCCCAAAGTGCTGAGATTACAGACGTGAGCCACTGCGACTGGCCCTGTAAATGTGATTATTAAATGAATACCTGTTTTACTTTCTGCCTACTCTACTTCTGTTTAGTCTGAGAAACTGCTCACTTTTTAGTTCTCTGACAATAAAACAAATTTCAACAGAAGGTCAGCATGCAGCATCTGCAGCCACTAAAATCCAAGGTGCAGAAGCAGAATGGACAGCCAACTTTTCAACTCCAAGAACATCCCAAAAGCACTACAAATTGTCCTACTACCTAACTGCTTGCTATTCTATGTATACAGTTTTTTTCTTTTTCTTTTTTTTTTTTTTTTTTTTTGAGACAGGGTCTCACTCTGTTCCCCAGGCTGGAGGGCAGTGGCACCATCTCAACTCACTGCAATCTCCGCCTCCCAGGCTCAAGCGATTCTCGTGCCTCAGCCTCTCAAGCAGCTGAAATTACAGGCAAGTGCCACCACACCCAGCTAATTTTTGTATTTTTAGTAAAGACAGGGTTTCACCATGTTGCCCAGGCTGGTCTCAAACTCGAGCTCAAGTTATCCACCCGCCTTGGCCTCCCAAAGTGCTGGGATTACAGGGGTGAGCCGCCACGCCCGGCCCCTTCCATGTATATATTTGGTCCTCTTACTACTACTTCCCTACATTTCTCAACAAAGTCAAAGGATCAGTATATACACCAAAACTCACAATATCTCACTCTCTTATTTCTATACATATTTTACCACAAAAGCAGAAAATGCAGTGATAGCTTTTTTTCTTCTCTTTCTTTTTTTTTTTTTTTTGAGACAGAGTCTTGCTCTGTCACCCAGGCTGGAGTGCAATGGTGCAATCTCGGCTCATTGCAACCTCCGCCTCCTGGGTTCAAGCGATTCTCCTGCTTCAGCCTCTCAAGTAGCTGAGATTACACGTGCGTGCCACCACGCCCAGCTAATTTTTGTATTTTTAGTAGAGGCAGGGTTTCACCATGTTGGTCAGGCTGGTCTCAAACTCCTGAGCTCAGGTGATCCACCCGCCTCGACCTCCCAAAGTGCTGGGATTACAGGCATGAGCCACCACACCAGCTAGTGATAGCTTTTGATAGCGTAACTATTGATAAACCCCAATATACTCCCATCATTCTACTCTTCCACCTGTCCAACATCACTGCAGTTAACTGTTCTCAGCAGTCCCAAGAACAGCGCTAATATCCATTTAAGTAGAACAGGAAAAAAACTGAAACCAGTCTGGGTAAGGCCTGCAGGTAAGAATTGTTTATTTCCCTTCTGTGGGCAAAAGACCACTTTTGTTAAACATCTTTAGTTTTTTAACATATAATTTCTTTCAAAAAATTACTCCAAGACAGCAGCATAAGCAAATTGAAACTTCCTATCCCACCACCCTCAATCATGTTTAAAAATAATAATAAAAAAGACAACAGAAACCACTTCAAATGTATCTTTCCCTTGAGCCCCCAGAACAGCATTCATCCACGACAACTGTCCTGAAAAACTCTGCCATTATTTCCAAAAGCAGTAGGAAGTCCGGTCTTGTCCTTGGTTTGTACTCCCCCCTCCTCTCTCTCCAAGAAAAAATGAAACAGCAGGAAGCGTAAACAACCACTTAATGGAAAATACAAATGGGTAAATATTTTCAAAATTAGCTAAAAAGCCTCAGGTCTTCAGGAATGCTAGTGCAGGGGGAAATAGGAAGAGAAAAATAACTGCATTTACCCCTTCAAGTGAGCACTGTAAGAAGACAAGCGCAAATGTGGCACATAGGTACTATACTTTCTCTCCTCCATTTACCAGATACTTTTGTCTTTTTTTTTTTTTTTTTTTTTTGAGACGAAGTTTCGCTCTTGTTGCCCAGGCTGGAGTGCAATGGTGCAATCTCAGCTTACAGCAACCTCTGCCTCCTGGGTTCAAGCGATTCTCCTGCCTCAGCCTCCCAAGTAGCTGGGATTATAGGCATGTGCCACCACGCCTGGCTAATTTTGTATTTTTAGTAGAAACAGGCTTTCTCCACGTTGGCCAGGCTGGTCTCGAACTCCTGACCTCAGGTGATCCGCCCACCTCGGCCTCCCAAAGTGCTGGGATTACAGGTGTGAGCCACTGTGCCCAGACCTTTTTTTTTTTTTTTTTGAGACAGAGTCTCACTCTGTTGCCCAGGCTGGAGTGCAGTGGCGTGATCTCAGCTCACTGCAACCTCCACCTCCCGGGTTCAAGCGATTCTCCTGCCTCAGCCTCCAAAGTAGCTGGGATTACAGGCATGCGCCACCATGCCCAGCTAATTTTTCTATTGTTAGTAGAGACGGGGTTTCACCATGTTGGCCAGGCTGGTCTTGAACTCCTGACCTCAGGTGATCCACCCACCTCGGCCTCCCAAAGTGCTGGGATTATAAGCGTGAGCCACTGCGCCAGGCTGACAGTGGTATTTTCTAAATAGCTTATTCTGTACATATTTCTCCAGCCTCATAACAAAGTTTACTATTTTAAGCTGTGCTCTTTGGTTCAGCTGAGCATGGTGATGAAAAGCCCCTTCCCATGAAAAGTTCACATGGAGAACTCTTGAAGCCCCTAGGGCAAGCACTAACCCAGACCTCATGGTAAAGCCCACAATGCATATGGATGAAACTGTTAGTTACAGCTGGACTGACAGTTCCAAAGCTGCAGAGCAGTGCTAGATCACAGATCACCTTTGCGTGGATTAGAAAAGGTGCCCCTTCTCTGAGTGCACACAGTTCCACACCAGGTACTCATCTTGGTAAGTGGAGTACAGAATAGATTTCCACCCTCACTTGCCACCTGAAACAGGTATCCTTTTGCTGGGTGCAATCTCTATGGTCCTACACAGCAGCACCGTTAAGAAGTGTACCGGCCAGGCACGGCTGTTCACGCGTGTAATCCCAACACTTTGGAAGGCCGAGGCAGGCTGATCACAGAGGTCAGGAGTTTGAGACCAGCCTGGCCAACATGGTGAAACCCCGTCTCTACTAAAAATATGAAAATTATCCGGGCATGGTGGCAGGCACCTGTAATCCCAGCTACTCGAGAGGCTGAGGCAGGAGAATCGCTTGAACCTGGGAGGTGGAGGCTGCAGTGAGCCGAGATTGCGCCACTGCACTCCAGCCTGGGCAACAAGAGCGAAACTCTGTCTCAAAAAAAAAGAAAAGCGTACCTGGGCAATGCTGCACCTCCAAAGTGGGTTTCCAGATAGAGGAACCTTAACAAAGACAAACAGGCACTTCACAAATTTCACTATCAGAAAGCCTCAGATTTGTTAACATAAATTCATTCATAAACACATCAGGACTAAGGAAGAAAGGTCTAGTAGAGAAGGAAAACTAGCAAATTTTGGAGAAAGGACACTCTTCCATCTTGAGGGATAATCAGTTGTCTCCTAAAGACCTTAATCTCTGACCATAGGTTCAGACGGCTGAACCTCAAATGTTGGTCACAAGCTAAAACAATCACTAGCATCTGCAGAGGGATGGATCATCTTTCTCTTAAGACATAATGACATGTTTACCTTTGGGGGTTTTACTTTCTCCAAATTTTCCTTCTCTGCTAGACCCTTTTTGCCCTTACTTTGAAACCACATACAGTTGACACATGTGTTAAAATCTGTAAAACCTGATAAACAACCCTGGTAGGTAGTGGGCCCCTTAGCTAACTCCATGAAAATCAGAGGAATGGACAACCTAGATTAAGAGGGGTATGGCATCCAACCCTATCATTCTTTTATGCTCCACAAAAGAGGTAAAGTATCACGTGGGTCAAAATTCCATCCCAGTCATCCAGGAGTGGGAACAGAGGGGCAGCCTAAGGAAAAGATGAGGACTAGGCTGGGGCAAACCCAAGATAGTGGTTCTCAAACTTTAGTGGGCATCCCAATCTACTGGGGAGTTTTCTCAGAATCAGATGTCTGGGTCCCTCCCTACACCTGATATATCAGAATGTCCTGGAGCACATCTATTTCAACAAAGCTCAAACTGCTGACACAGGTCCAATAGAAAGTTTAGAAATAATGAGAAATCTACCGCAACTATCAGCAGTTCCAAAATAAAAGTCATCCACTGCAAAACTAGGTTTAGCAGGTCAGAAAGGGGCGAAAAAGGATCACCAGCCTGCATGTCTAACAGGCTGCGCTAGGCTGGAGCCTGTAGGAGAGGTCCATTATTATGAAACAAAAACTGTGTTCTATAAACAAAATTTTTGTGTGAGAAATATTTCAAACATCTGAAAAATATTTAGAGTATACTAAATATCTCTATACCCTACACCCAACATTACCAAATCTTAATTTACGATTACCTGATTCAGATTTTTTTTAAGTAATAGGACATTAAAGGTATAAATAAAGCCCTTTTGGGTACCCTTGTGTAATCCCATTCCTCATCTTCTCTTCCCAAAGACAATCATTACACTTAATATGCATAATTTAATACTATCACCACATATGGGCATAGCCACAAACAATATTATTTTTCATGTTTTCAGATTTTACACACGTGAAACGATTCTGTAAGAATTCTTCTGACTTGCTTCCCTGTTCCATATGGTTTTTGAGATTCACCTATTTTAATGAGTGAGGCTAGTTTATTTTTCACAGCTGTAATATTCAACTGTATGGGTCTATCTAAAAATGTATGTATTGGCCGGGCGCGGTGGCTCACGCCTGTAATCCCAGCACTTTGGGAGGCAGAGGCGGGCAGATCACGAGGTCAGGAGATCGAGACCATCCTGGCTAACACGATGAAACCCCGTCTCTACTAAAAATACAAAAAAAAATTAGCCGGGCATGGTGGCGGGCGCCTGTGGTCCCAGCTACTCGGGAGGCTGAGGCAGGAGAATGGTGTGAACCAGGGAGGCGGAGCTTGCAGTGAGGCGAGATCACGCCACTGCACTCCAGCCTGGGTGACAGAGAGACTCCGTCTCAAAACAAACGAACAAACAAATAAATAATAAATAAAAATATATGTAGTCTTCTGTTGGTGGACATTTAAGCTGGAATGAGCATTCTTGTATTTTTTTCATACTTATTTTCTTGAACAAGTGTACAAGGATCTCTTAGGGTATATATACACACACACACCCAGAAATGGACATTTTAGGTAAATGAATATGTCTGCCCACCTTCACACTAAACACCAAATACCACTACTCTCTAAGGTGGTTGGATCCATTTACATTTCCACTACACTATATACAAGCTTATCTATCCACAACCTTAATAATCCTCGGTTTATCACAGCACTACATTTTTGCCAACCTGATCGGTGTGAAATGTCATCTCAGTGTTGTTTCAATTTGCATTTCCCTGATTGTAAGTCTCTCACAAGTACATTTTCTTGCTTTTAAGTATACATTTGCCAAATATGTGTGTCTTAGAGTTTTTTAGGAAAATCTAACCCATCTTGTCTGAATTGGGGCAGTCCTTCCCAAAGCACCCTGCCAACAGCCACCACAGCAGGAAAGCTAAGGTGCAAGAGGGCAGCAAGAAAACAGCTGACTTAAACAAGGAATCATCTTGGACAAAGGGCCTTAATTAATGCATTTGTTAATTAGTCTTTCCCTTCCCTCTTTTGTCAAGCCTTACTTCCAAGACAATACTCCAGGCCCTGTGGGTCTGCATCCTTAGAACAAGAGCGAGAATGAGGGGGAGGGGGTGCTCAAGCTAGAACGTTTCTATAAAAGTATAGCTGTCCTTACTAAAAGAAAATAAGTGACTGCAGACCAATTCACACTCAACCTTGTAAGCTACCATCCACCTCCAACAGACTCCTTTCAAACTCATCACGTTTGGCACCTTCTTTGAAACATCCCAATCTTTTTCTCCAGACTAGACACCGTCCCCCGCCCTTCAGCAACCCTTTCATCTCCCTTCCCCCACAATGACTGAATACCCTCTCCTTTTTCCCCATTCTATTTTCTAGCTCCACGGGACCCTCGTCCCTGCCTGTAACACGTTGCTCTCTCCCTTCCCTCTAGAACTGCAAGTCCTTTCCCCTTCCAAGGGACATCCGCAGTCAAAACAACCCACCTCATCATCCACCCCAAATAAAAACGGAAATCCCATGTATTACATGCCAGGCAGGCGGGTGACTCGGTCCCAATCCTCCCAGCTTCCTTCCCCCTTCAAGCCTGGGATAGCTGTTCTTTCTCGGGGAGTTCTCCAAGTGTGGTAGGTCCAAACCACCTGGAAAAAACTCACATGGCCTTCTGTGCCGTAAACGTCTTTACCAAGGCCATGTATGCATTTCTGGTTTCGGCATGAACGAAATTCGGGCCATTTACTGAAAAAAGACACCTTACGGGCGCCTCCACAAAAGCGGGCAGGCCTCCCTCCCAGTAATTCCAGCTGAATTGGTTTAGTCAGTGCAGTGGTGGGGAAGGTGGCCTGGCAGAGACCAAACGGTCCCCACGATAAGAAGTTTCCGAAGCTCTGCCCCACTCACTCAAGAAAGCCCTCTCCCCGAGAGCACACCCCGCACAGAAGTCTTTCCCGCTGCGGCTCCCCAGGGCACCACCAAGCTCCCAAGTCGGCCCCCTGCTCTTCCGTCCCACCCCGTAAGAGATCATTACTCCCAAACCAGCCCAAAAAGGGCTGGGTGGGTGTGCCAGGGTCCAGGGCCTGACCCCCTCCCCCGAGATCTGTCTCCCTCGGCTCCTGGGGGCCGGGGGATCGACCTCTTCCCAGCCCCCTCTGCTCGGGGCCCGCGCCGGCCCAGGGTGGCCCTGGGTCCCAGCCAAGCTACGGCTCTCATTGGCTATGTGACCTTGGGCAAGTCACTTCCCCCTCTAAGCCTCGGTTTCCTCCTCCGCCGAGCAGAGACCTAGAGAGGTCCTGCCCTGCACACCCTGGGGGAGGGGGCTACCCACCGGGTGGGAAAACGCTTTGTGAGCGCTCGGCGCGGCTGAGGCGCAGGGCTCGCAGGGGCTCCGGGGCCGGACAAAGCTGACCCGGACAACGCTCCTCCCCGTCGGCGGGGCCGGGCGCCTGGACCACACGCCTCCGGCCCCCACCCGCGGGACCGACCCACGCCCCTCCCTGCCTGGCCCGCTCCGGGACCCCGTACCTGCTCCCGGCGCTCGGCCGCAGGCGCCGCCACCCTGGGCTCCCGCCCGGAGAGGCCCGTGGCCCGGAGGGCTGAGGCGGTCCGTGGCGGCGGGCTCCGGCCGGGGCGGCGGCGGTGGGGGGCGCGGGCGGCGCGGGGGCCCAAGCTCGGCGGGGCCCGGCCTGGGAGACGACGACTGAGGCTGAAAGTGCGCGGCGGCGGCGGCTGCTGAGGCGGCGGCGGCAGCGACCGCGGCGGCCGCGCTTCCGCTCATGGCGGGGCCGCGAGCAGCGGCTCCGGCTGCGACTCGACTCCGGCGCGGCAGGCGCTGGCTGGGCCCCGGCCGGCAGCAGCGGTGGCGGCGACGGAGGCGGCTCCCGAAGGGGGAGGAGGCGGAGCCGGGAAGCGGCGGCGGCGGCGGAGGGGGCGGGGACGTGGAGGGGGCGGGGACGCCGAGCCGCGGCCGCCAATGGGCGCGGGGCTCCTCAGCCGCGGCTCCGGGGGCGGGAGGGCGGCGCCGAGGGGTATCCTCAGTCTCCGCCGCTCCCTGAGAAGGGGAGGCAGAGCGCGGGCCACCCGCCGGGAGAGCCCTGCTGCAGGGGCTGCCCCGCCCCAGGCCCGCCCCTGAGGCGCGGCCGCGGGCCTCTGGGGCCAGGCCTCGCGCGACCCAGGCTGGGGCTGCGCTTGGGCTCCGCTGCGCAGGGGTTCGCGCCCGCGAGGGGGCCGGAACTCGGCCCAGATAGCTACTGCTCGCAGCCCGCCTGCCAGACTCCCTCCTCCGCTTCCCCGCACTGGAGACGCAGCCTCCTCTCCCCTCCTCTGCCTCTCTTGGCTGTTTCCTCAAAGTTTTTCCCTTTCAGACACTTAGGAAAGAAACTCTCCCTTCTGTTCTTAGGCTGCGTTTCAGTGATAAATTAGTCCCCGCGGACCCAGAGAGAACAGCAGAGGCAGAAACGAAAGAGATGGAAACGAGCTGCAGTCCCTGAGTCCCCGAGACCATCTTGAATGCTGAGCAGGAACCAGCCAGGCTCAGCCCTGGCCCCTCGCCCCTTTCTCTGACTTTCTCACTTTACATGCCCTTGTTGTTAGAAGACTTAGATAGAAACATCCAGCCCAGCTGGGCCTAGTCTCAAAAGATGGGGAGGGTGTGAGGTAAGGAAAGGCTTTTGACCTGTCCCAACGGCTTTCCTGTGAGGGGAAGAATTCTGCGAGTTGGTGACCCCCTTTGGGCCCTCCTCCACTTGGATGTGATGTTGGTCACTGAAACCGTTTCCTCCTCATGTTTGTCTGGCTCTCATTTCAAAGCCGTAGAGGAGCAAAATAAACAACCATGTGTTAGGGGTACCTCTAAAGTGCAGGCACGTGGGTGGGCCAGGGTGCAGCTAAACTGCTGAGTGGATCATTTCAATAAAACCTTATCCTCAGCCATTCTCCACTGAGCAGAGAGAGAAAGAGCTCTATTTGAATCTTTGACAACAGACATTTCAAATTCCATGCTGACACTTAATAGGTGCCTGATCTTTCATTCGTGCTGGTCTTTCTGTCATCAGCAATGCTAGACACTGGGAATACAAGAATAAAAAAGATACAGTCGAGGCCTTCAAAGAGTTTACAATCTCATTGGAGGACAGTGAGATATTTTTAGAAGTTAAAAACTTACGGATGAGCAGGAGTTCACCAAGGGGGGCAGGTTGGGGGAAAGTGGACTGGGAAAACATTAAGATTGTATTTGGCCAGGGGACGTAAGATTTTCTGAATCCCATCCTTGACTTTTTGGTCACAGAGGAAGCAGGTAGTATATTACTTGCTGGAGCTTGGGTCCCAGTGCCCACTGTAGAACACCTGTCAACTACTGCACGGAGGCACCTTCTTTCCTCCGATAGGTCTCAGCAGCCTTGAGCAACATTGGATCTATTTCTGTGCCAAAGTCCAAACCCCAGTTTCAGCTCTTAAAACCCCAATTTGAGCAAATGCCTTGACCACCAGCCCTAGAAGAGAACGGACAGATGAGCAGTTTAATCCAGTAACCAAAGGAGCCCATCCAAGGATGCCTTGAGGCCAGGAAGAAACAGGAAGAAATAAAGGGAGAGGACCAGGCAAAGCCTTGGGCCACCTCACCTTGCCAGTTTAGGGAAACAAAATAAAGAATGGACCACATTCATGTTGGTTGCGATCTTTAGCTCTTAACTTTGCGTCCCCCAATGATGATCAGGAAGAGAGATGAGCATTGGGGTTTAGGCAACGACAGGTTTAATAGGACTGGAGTACAGCCCGGGTGATGAGTGATAAGAAAAGAACAGACTGGAATTTAGTTAAGACAAGACCAAATCATGAAGAGTCTTGAGTGCCACATTGAGGAATTTGAACTTAACCTGAATAACAAAAGTGAGCCATTGAGCACATAATGAGGAAATGATGTGATTAGATCGTATTTCGGAAAAACTCTGGCTGCTGTGTAGAAAATGGATTGGAGGGTGCTATGGTTTGAATATTTGTCCCTTGCAAAACTCATGTTGAAATTTAATCCCCAGGCCGGGCACAGTGGCTCACGCCTGTAATCCCAGCATTTTGGGAGGCCGAGGCGGGGGGATCACCTGAGGTCAGGAGTTCAAGACCAGCCTGGCCAACATGGTGAAACCCCATCTCTACTAAAAATACAAAAATTAGCCGGGCGTGGTGGCACACCCCTGTGATCCCAGCTACTCGGAAGGCTGAGGCAGGAGAGTTGCTTGAGCCTGGGAGGCAGAGGTTGCAGTGAGCCGAGATCGTGCCACTGCACTCCAGCCTGGCTGACAAAGCGAGATTCTGTCTCAAATAAATAAATAAATAAATAATAAAAATAAAAAATTTAATCGCCAATATGGTAGTATTGAGAGACGGAGCGTTTAAGAGGTGATTGGTAGAGCCCTCATGAATGTATTGATCCATACATGGATTAATGGGCTATCATGGGAATGGGACTGGCCTTTATAAGAAGAAAAGAGACCTGAGCAAGGATGTTAAGCCCTTTCACCACGTGATGCCCTGTGCCACCTCAGGACTGTGCAGAGTCCCTAGCAGCAAGAAAACCCTCACGAAATGTAGCCTATCAACCTCAGACTTCTCAGACTTTGCAACTGTAAGAAATACATTCCTTTTCTTTATATATTGCCTAGTTTCAGTTATTGTGTTATATATAAATAAGCAACAGAAAACAGCCTAAGATAGAGGAGAACCAAAAGAGAAGAAAACTGGCTAAAAAGTTTTAGGCATGGGGTGAAAGTGACCTGAACTAAAGCAGAGATAGCAGGAATAGAGAGATTTTAAGGTGGTAGAATCAACAAGGCTTGAGGAAGATGAGATTGATTCAAGGATAACAAAGATTTTTCACTTGGACAACTGAGTGACGGTGGTGCCATTCCTGAAAATATTAACAGATAATACAGAGAACTATGAAGAGCAGAGAACTATGACCCCGGTTAAATCAGATTATTTCTGTGACTCTCCACATAAAGCAGAAGGGCTGAAGCAATTGGACTAGAGTCACCACTATACAATTACTAATGTCCTCTGAGATGGGGATCCAAAGATATGCAAAGGAGAGGCACAATAGAAGGATTGCCCATTCCTTTTTTTCCATTAAAAAAAATTGTGGGCCAGGTGCAGTGGCTCACACCTGTAATCCCAGCACTTTGGGAGGCTGAGGTGGGCAGATCACCTGAGGTCGGGAGTTCGAGACCAGCCTGACCAACATGGAGAAACCCCGTCTCTACTAAAAATACAAAATTAGCTGGGCGCGGTGGCGCGTGCCTGTAATCCCAGCTACTCAGCAGGCTGAGGTAGGAGAATCTCTTGAAACCGGGAGGCGGAGGTTGCGGTGAGCCAAGATCGCGCCATTACACTCCAGCCTGGGCAACAAAAGCGAAACTCCATCTCAAAAAAAATAAATAAATAAAAAATAAATAAATTGTGGTAAAATATATTATGTAAAATTTATTATTTTAACCATTTTCAAGTGTATAATTGTAATTTCAAGTGGCATTAACTATATTCACAATGAATTAGCTGGGCTTGGTGGTGGGCACCTGTAATCCCAGCTCCTCAGGAATCTGAGGCAGATAATTGAATTGCTTGAACCCAGAAGGTGGAGGTTGCAGTGAGCTGAGATCGCACCACTGCACTCCAGCCAGAGTCAGGCGACAGAGCGAGACTCTGTCTCAAAAAAAAAAAAGAAAGAAAGAAAGAAAGAAAACTGTATTCACAATGTTGTAAAACCATCACCACTATCCGTTTCCAGAACATCTTCATCACCATCCCAGACAGAAACCCATTAAATAACTTTCAGTTCCCTCCTCCCCTCAGCCCCTGGTATGTCTATTCTACTTTCTGTCTCTACAGATTTGATTATTCTAGATACCTAATGCAAGTGGAACCATACAATATTTGTCTTTTTGTGTCTTTCTGGCTTATTTCACTCGCATAATGTTTACAAGGTTTATTCATGTGACAGTATGTATTAGAATTTCCTTCCTTTTTGTTTTATTTTTATTTATTTTTGTTTTAATTATTTTATTTTTATTTATTTTGGCAACAAGAGTATTGCTGTTTTTGCCAAGGCTGGGATGCAATGGCGCAATCTCAGCTTACCGCAAGCTCCACCTACCAGGTTCAAATGAGTCTCCTACCTCAGCCTCCTGAGTAGCTGGGATTACAGGCATACGCCACCACACCTGGTTAATTTTTTGTACTTTTTGTAGAAACAGGGTTTCTCCATGTTGGTCAGGCTGGTCTTGAACTCCCAACCTCAGGTAATCCGCCTGCCTCGGCCTCCCAGAGTGCTAGGATTACAGGCGTGAGCCACCAAGCCTGGCCTTACTGCTTTTAGTTCTTTTGAGTATATACCTAGGAGAAGAATTACCGCATCATAATGGTAACTCTGTGCTTAACTTTTTGAGCACCAGACTGTTTTCTATAGGGGCTGCACCATTTTTGCATTCCCACCAGCAATGCATAAGGGTTCTAATTTATCCACAGTCTTGCCAACACTTGTTATTCCACCCCCACCCCTACCTTTTTCTTCATAATAGCCTTCCTAATGGATGTGAAGTGGTATCTCATTGTAGTTCTGATTCGCACTCCCTATTTCACTTTCAAGCTTAGCACAATGTCTGTTTACTTGTATTTGCCCCAGCCTGGCTTGTAAATCATTATTTTATTTGGGGGTTAATGAGGGAGTGGAGGAGAGAAATTGTAAGAAAATACTGAAGGGGCGCCGGGTGCGGTGGCTCAAGCCTGTAATCCCAGCACTTTGGGAAGCCGAGGTGGGCGGATCACGAGGTCAGGAGATCGAGACCATCCTGGCTAACACGGTGAAACCCCGTCTCTACTAAAAATACAAAAAATTAGCCGGGCGTGGTGGTGGTGGTCGCCTGTAGTCCCAGCTACTCAGGAGGCTGAGGCAGGAGAATGGCGTGAACCCGGGAGGCGGAGCTTGCAGTGAGCCGAGATCGTGCCACTGCACCACAACCTGGGCGACAGAGCAAGACTCCGGTCTCGAAAAGAAAAGAAAAGAAAAGAAAATACTGAAGGGGCTATTTCATGAAAAACGATAAGACAATGATAGACCTAATAGCATATAAAACCAGAAGAGGAGCAAGATGGTATTTCAGAGTATTACAGAGTAATACTTTGCAGCCTTAGCAACTGAAGGAATCCAGATAAGGTAGACCCAATGGAATTTGTAACCATGCTCAGCAAAGGAAGTGAAAATAGCAATGCCAAGTGGAAGGGGCTGAGGCAGGAGATGAAATGAACCACCAATACCACATGACTACTTTCCTTCACAAACACATCACAAGCACATGTGAGACAACTATATGGTTTCCCTGAAATGCTTGGGGATGTAAATTGCAGGGTGAGAGCCAGAGCGAAAGAAAACATGCTGAGCATTTTTCCTCACTATTATCACATTAATAAACATTAGTTTCTATTTCCTTAGGCCACATTCCTAAAGGTGGAATTGCTAATTCAATGTTTTGAAAAGTTCTAATTTCCAGAGAGATCATAGCAATTTATTTGTTTAATCATTTATTTTTATTTAAATATAAGGGATTGAATTGGTCATATTTCTCACTTGTAAGGCCACTCTCATTTGTTATATTTATTTATTCTCTTTTATTCACATTCACTAATCTCATTCCCCTTTCTCACCACAGGCAATTATTCCGATGTGTTTCATGTATATCCTTTTGTTTGTGTTTATTTAAAATATGTAGTATTGGGCTGGACATGGTGGCTGACGCCTGTAATCCCAGCACTTTGGGAGGCCAAGGCAGGCAGATCACTTGAGGTCAAGACTTTGAGACCAGCCTGGCTAACATGGTGAAACCCCGTCTCTGCTAAAAATACAAAAATTAGCTGGGCGTGGTGGTGCACGCCTGTAATTCCAGCTACCCAGGAGGCTGAGACACCAAAATCCCTTGAACCCGGCAGGTGGAGGTTGCAGTGAGCTGAGATTGCACCATTGCACTCCAGCCTGGGTGACGTAATGACACTCTTTCAAAACAAAACCAAAACCAAAACCTCCCAACAAAGAGATTTTTCAAAAAAAAAAAAATAGTAGTAGGATAAAATATGTACTATTTTCTTAGATGTGTGTATTTTTTTCTTTTGTAAATAACATTGTAAGACACATTTTTTTTTCTTATTTTTCTTTTTTGCTGCAGCATGTTTTTAAGATCTGGCCCATTGCTTCTATCTACTGCATATTACTCCACCCATCACATTTTGCCTAAGGTCTTCTTCATTAGGGACACCCAAATTGCCTACAACCAAAAACATCACTGCCATAACTGTCTTTATACATACCCCTTATAGAACCTGTGTGAGAATTTTAGGAGGGTTGTATATATAGTATCAGAATTGGAATTTTATATTTTTTTCTCTGTTATATAGTTTTTGCTTTCATATTTTTATTATTGGTAAGGATAAATGTGTGTGTGTGGTGTGTGTGTGTGTGTGTGTGTGTGTGTTTCTTCAACCACAGTATTCTAGGAATTTTCTGATCACATCCTTAGCCCTATCCTCTATGGCTTCTTTAAAGACTAATTGAGTCTGTAATTGATTGTAATACATTGAATAAATGTAATGCATGAGTCCATAATGATGCTCAAAGAGCAAGAAAAGAGAAAGGAGGAAAAAATTCATTTGCCACTATTGGAAATACTATGACACCAACTCCTTTGTCAGGAAATTGGTAATTAAAGAGAAAGAATGAAGCATTTAACCTGCCATTTTAGGAAGAAATGAGGTTCATCCCCAATTGATGAGAGGAAATTCTTCTTTACAGAAGAATGTCATCTAATAAATGTAGAAGGATTGATAGAATTAAAAACTTACCATTTTGCAATCTCCAATGAGATAATTGATTCAAGCAAGGATCATCAGTGAATGTTAAACTATTTAAAAAGAAAGAAAAAAGACCAATCTACCATTGTATCTATTTCCCACCATTCACTTGCTCTACAAACACTTCCAATTTGACTTCTGCTCCTACCATTCTATTAACTACATGCTTGAAAGACAATGCTGGCTTCTCAATTGCCAAATACAATGGTCTTTTCTCAGTTCTCATCCTCCATGATCTCTTCATGGTATTTGACAATAGCAGCCACCTCCTCTTTCTTGTAACTCTCTCCTTTCATCTACAAAAGACTGGCTATCCATTGCTGTATAACAAACCACTCTAATATATTTAGAGGCTTTTAAAAATTTATTGTTATTTTTCATGGTTCTGTGGGTAGACTAGGCTCAGTTGGGTGGTTCTCACTTGGGATCTCTGATGTTTCAGTAAATGGTGTCTAGGGCTGGACTCATCTGAAAGCTTGACTGGGCTAGACATCCAGGAAGGCTTCTTCACTCACTTGTCTGGCATCTCGAAAGGATGGCTGGAACAGCTGGAGGTTAATAGGGCAACTCTCTGTCTCCATGTGACTGGCTTGGGCTCCCTAACAGCATGGTAGACTCAATATAGTGAAGATTAAACTCTGATTTTTTAGTTTGTCCAAATTCCTACCTAAGGGCCCTGGGGACTCATGCCCTACAAACCATAAAGTCTCATCAGAGGGGTTTTCATTTTAACTCTGTATAGTGTGGTCTGTTTTCTAACCTGACTCTGGCATAACATCACATAACAAATAAGGGAAGAAATCAAAATATTTTAACCCTAAATATAATTCCTTGCCATATCTTGACATTGCCCTGAAAAGTTGTCTCTTGTGGGAAAAATCCACATTCCATAGAGAAACCCCTTTCCCGTTTTTTTCCTTCCTTCATTTCCAGATCCAGGAGATAATCAACTAAGAGCCAGGCACCCTTTTACATCGGATAAGAAACATTTTACAACCTGTTCTTTCTGAAGTCTGCTATCTGAGAGCTTCCTCTGCACAATAAAACTTGTCTCCACAATCCTAACCTAAACATTTCCTTTCTGTTGATCCCAGGTCTTCAGATAAACTCAACCAATTATCAACTGGAAAATATTTAAATCTACCTATAGCCTGGAAGGCCCCCCCTCCGCCAAAAACCAATGTACATCTTAAATGTATTTCATTGATGTTTCCTGTCTCCCAAAAATGTATAAAACCAGGCTGTGCCCTAACCACCTCAGACTTTTATACATTTTTGGAAGACAGGAAACATCAGGTCTCAGGATCTCCTGAGGGCTGTGTCACAGGCCACGGTCACTCATATTTGGCCCAGAATAAATCTCAAAATATTTTACAGAGTTTGACTCTTTTCATCGACAATAGATAAGACTTCTTACATAGTGCCTGGCTTTCCCCAGAGCAAGTGTTCCCAGGTGGAAACTGCAAGGCTTCTTAAGAGACAATTCATGCTCTTTCTCACCCAATATGCATCATCTACTATTTTCAGCATTGGTTTCTTTAGAGGGGGAAAAAGAACTGAAAGACTTTTCCAAAGCTGAGTGTAAAATCCATCTATGTTTTTATTGTTTCATTTCTATTTTTTTTTTTTTTTTGAGTGTCTGTCACCCAGGCTGGAGTGCAGTGGCGCGATCTCGGCTCACTGCAAGGTCCGCCTCCCGGGTTCACACCATTCTCCAGACTCACCCTCCCCAGTAGCTGGGACTACAGGCACCTGCCACTATGCCCAGCTAATTTTTTTTTTTTTTGAGACAGAGTTTCGCTCTTGTTGCCCGAGCTGGAGTGCAATGGCGTGATCTCAGCTCACCACAACCTCCACCTCCCAGGTTCAAGCGATTCTCCTGCCTCAGCCTCTCTAGTATCTGGGATTACAGGTATGTGCCACCATGCCCGGCTAATTTTGTATTTTTAGTAGAGATGGGGTTTCTCCATGTTGGTCAGGCTGGTCTCAAACTCCCAACCTCAGGTGATCCGCCCGCCTCGGCCTCCCAAAGTGCTGGGATTACAGGCATGAGCCACTGTGCCCAGCCTAATTTTTTATATATATATTTTTTAGTAGAGACGGGATTTTACCGTGTTAGCCAGGATGGTCTCGATCTTCTGACCTTGTGATCTGCCGGCCTCGGCCTCCCCAAGTGCTGGGATTACAGGCATGAGCCACCACGCGCAGCCTATTATTTCATTTCTAATGATGTGTCTATCCATATCTAACCCCAAAGCAATTTTTAAAAGAAGTTTTTGTAGAGATGGGGTCTCACTGTGCTGCCCATGCTGGTCTCAAACTCCTGGCCTCGAGTGATTCTCCCCCGTCAGCCTCTCAAAGTGCTGGGATTACAGGCGTATACCACCACACCTGGCCCCCAAAGCAATTTTGAAATACCTTTATCGGCCGGGTGCAGTGGCTCTCGCCTGTAATCCTAGCACCTTGGGAGGCAGAGGCGGGCAGATCACCTGAGGTCAGAAGTTTGAGAACAGCCTGACCGACATGAAGAAACCCCATCTCTACTAAAAATACAAAATTAGCCGGGCGTGGTGGCGCATGCCTGTAATCCCAGCTACTCCAGAGGCTGAGGCAGGAGAATCACTTGAACCCGGTGAGCCGAGATCATGCCATTGCCCTCCAGCCTGGGCAACAAGAGTGAAACTCCATCTCAAAAAAAAGAAATACCTTTATCAAGTCTTTCAAAACATTTAGCTGAATTTTCATAGAAGCAGGAACAATCTTTACACTTGCACTTGTGTTTCCACAGTTTACTTAATATTTAATTATGTAATGTAATTTCTGTAATAAATAAAACTAACACAAACAGATTTGTGGAGAAACTTCTCAATTGGTAGGCTCAGTAAGTCCCAGAAACTAGTTTACCAGCTATGAGCATTCAGTGCACATGGGTGTAAATTAGTATATTTTACAGACGGAATAGAGGGCATTGGTTAATACAATTAATCGGTTAAAAGAGTTTCTAATGTATCTTTTTTGAACCTTTTGAATTGGAAGTACATAAACCACTTTAAGAAACATAGACTCGGCTGGGTGCAGTGTCTCACACCTGTAGTCCTAGCAATTTGGGAGGCCGAGGCAGGCGAATCACTTGAGGCCAGGAATTTGAGACCAGCATGGCCAACATGGTAAAACCCCGTTTCTAGTAAAAATACAAAAATTATGAGGGCGTGGTGGCATATGCTTGTAATTCCAGCTACTTGGGAAGCTGAGGCACGAGACTCACTTGAACCCAGGAGACAGAGGTTGCAATGAGCCAAGATGGCACCACTGCACTCCAGGCTGGGCAACAGAGCGAGACTCGGTCTCAAAAAAAAAAAAAGAAAAAAAGAAACAGGCTGTATTGGCTTTCATAATCCAAAGCCTGGGGTGGATCTGGCATGACTTGATTCAGGGACTTGAATGATGTGTCAGCTCCCAATCTTCCTCTGTCTCTCAGCTGTGCTTACCACCATGTTGGTTTCATACTAGACTCCATGCAGTGATGAGACAGTGATGGCAGCTCCTGGCACAGAAGAGAAAACACGTAACCCTCTCAGCAATCCTAACAAAAAGTCTCACTACTTTGTATCAGCTAAGATTGGGTATATGCTTGCTTACCTTATACTGATCTGTGACCAGGGAGATGTGATGACCTGAGTGACTTAGGATTGAGTCCCATGCCTCTCTGAAGCCCTTTCTAACCCCTGGACTGAGAAGAATTGCCTTGGAGCATTCCAGCTTGCTATTATATAAGTTGATTTTTTTTTTTTTTTGAGACGGAGTCTTGCTCTGTCACCCAGGCTAGAGTGCAGTGGTGCGATCTCGGCTCACTGCAACCTCTGCCTCCCAGGTTCAAGCGATTCTCCTGCCTTAGCTCCCGAGTAGCTGGGATTACAGGCACCCACCACCTTGCCTGGCTCTTTTTTTTTTGTATTTTTAGCAGGGACGGGGTTTCACCATCTTGGCCAGGCTGGTCTCGAACTCCTGACCTCAAGCAATCCACCCGCCTCGGCCTCCAAAGTGCTGGGATTACAGGCGTGAGCCACTGTGCCCAGCCTTAGAAATTCTTTTTTTGTTTGTTTGAGACAGAGTCTTGCTCTGTTGCCCAGGCTGGAGTGTAGTGGCTTGATCTCAGCTCAATGCACCTCCACCTCCCGGGTTCAAGCGATTCTCCTGCCCCAGCCTCCCGAGTAGCTGAGACTATAGGCATGCATCACCACTCCTGGCTAATTTTTTTGTATTTTCAGTAGAGATGGGGTTTCACCATGTTGGCCAGGCCGGTCTTGAACTCCTGACCTCAGGTGATCTGCCCACCTCAGCCTCCCAAAGTGCTGGGATTACAGGCGTGAGCCACTGCGCCCAGCAGAAGTCCATTCTTGAAGTAATGATTGGGTTAAGGAAGGACTATGGGCTTCTTGAGGGCAAGAATGGCATTGTGTTTCTGTCTGTATCCTCACTCTTCATACATAGCACCCAGCATGTTTCCCTACACACAGCAGACATCACTTAATTGTGAACCAAAAAACTGCAAGCATCTTTCTTCATTCACTGTGTATCTTACTGCTGTTTATAGAAGACTTGCCCTTGCTGTGCAAAATGCCAGTCCCTATTTGCCTGGGTTTTGTCATCTTTTGATCTCTTGTGCTGCCAGAAGGCCTCAAAGCATAAGTTTGAATGGGGCTTGGACTCCGAGACCCATAGAGCTAAGCTCCGTATAGAATTCCCTGAGGGAAGCCTTTTCCTTTCCATCTCAAGTCCGGCATATTGCTCTATAACACTGGTTATGGTGATGCTGCAGTTTTAATTTTACCTTTTGTGTTTGTTCTAGAGCCACTTTAAAGGACTCTCTTTGGGTCTTTCCCCTAATCCTCCTTTCTGACCCCCAGCTTCCCTTGGTCCCTCGCTTCCCTGCAGCCACAGCTGCCTGGCTCCAGGGCACTCAGACGGCACTGTCGCCTAGGCAACCCAGAAAGGGGCTTCAATCTACTGTCTCCCCAGAGGGGTTGGGCTGGCCCTGAGCCAGGAAGAGGCAGGGGGCAGGGGACCTGTACCAGCCCTGCACAGGGCATGTCGGGAAATAAACAGACTACTGGTGTGCTGTCTGCATTAAGAGATAGGGGGAATGTCATGGGTGTGTTGTCTGTGTGTTATGTAAGCAAACAGCCAAGGATGCCACTGCCCGCTGAGAGCAAAGAAATGGAACAAGAGAAAGAAGGCCCTCCCATACATCTTGGACTCAAATCTGCAGTGATGGAGTTAACTGGCCAAGGCTCTGTTTTAGTTTCCTAGGGCTGCTGTAACAAAGTACTACAAACTGGATGGCTCAAAACAACAGAAATGTATCTTCTCACAATTCTGGAGGCTAGAGGTCCAAAATCAAGGTGTCAGCAGGGCCATGCTCCCTCTGCAACCTGCCAGAGAACTTCCTTGCCTCTTCCTGCTCCTAGTGGTTTGCTGGCAATCTTTGACAATCCTTGACTTACAGCCACACATAACTCCAATCTCTGCTTCCATAGTCACATAGCGTTCTCCCTGTTTGCCTCTGTTTTCATGTGGCCTTCTTCATATAAGGACACTAGTCATATTAGATTTAGAGCCCACCCTTGCTCCAGTATGACTTCATCTTAACTAATTACTTCTGCACTGACCCTATTTCCTAACAAGCTCACGCTCTGGCATGGGGATTTGGACTTCAACATATCTTTTTTAGGGGACACAATTCATCCCATAACAGCCTCCCAGATGGGTATGAAATGATGGGAGAGATGGTTTTAGAAGTTCCCATAGTATAAGAGAAAGCCCTTTCTAGGGCTAATTGACAAGACTAAGGAAGCTCTGGAACACCAGGCTGAGGATCTTGGCTTTGTTTAGTAGAGGGGAGCCATGAAGGGTCTCAGAGAAGACAGCAGTGTGGCAATCTATAAGACTCAGGGTTTTTGTCATTGGTTGCTTTTTATGTTTTAGTGCCAGTGAAATGAACCACTCTTTTCTCCAACGCATACTCCCAGCTGCCTCTTTAAGTAACAGCCCTACACAGCCAGTTGTAGCATGACAAAAACCTTCGAAATGAATAGCACAGAGTTTGGTGTGGTTCCGAAGTAAGACTGCCACTTGCCAGCTGTGTCAGCCTTAGTTGCCTCCTCAGTCAAACGAGGATTATAAAAGTACCAATCTCAAAGAGTTGTTACAGGGATTAAATGAGTATGTATGAACTTATATAATATATATATAACATATTACATATATGATATACATACATATATATGTCTAGCTACCTGTCTCAGAAGAAAGCCTGACAAAGTAAGAACTCAGCAAATGTTCACAATTATTATGCAAAGATGAGTAGTTAATTTGGCTAAGGAGTAAAGTAGAAGTCATTATTATTAGTGCTGGTTATTAAGACTTTAGACCCTGGCTGAGCACAGTGGCACATGCCTGTAATCCCAGCACTTTGTGAGGCCAAGGGGGGTGGATCACTTGAGGTCAGGAGTCCAAGACCAGCCTGGCCAACATGGTGAAACCCTGTCTCCACTAAAAATACAAAAATTAGCTGGGTGTGGTGGTACGCACCTGTAGTCCCAGCTACCCAGGAGGCTGAGGCAGGAGACATGCTTGAACCCGGGTGGCAGAGGTTGCAGTAAGCCGAGATCACACCACTGCACTCCAGCCTGGGCGACAGAGTGAGACTCTGTCTCAAAAAAAAAAAAAAAAAAAAAAAAGGAATAGGAAGAGAAAGCTTTCACTTTTACTTTATACAATTTTAAAATAAGCACATAGTATTTTAATAATGAAAACTTAATTCCATTTAGAAAATTATTAAAATAAAGCATTTTGTATGCAAGCAACATTATTATAGGCATATCTTGAATCTGCTCTGATTTTCTTCAAGGAAATCATTCATGAATATGCATAGACTATTTCTGGAAGTATCTTCAAGAAGCTGATGACAGCGGTTGCCTCTCAAGAGGGAGATTGGGGGACTGGTGTTTGGAGTCAGGGATGGGAAGAAAATGACCTTTATGCTATATTTTCTTTTACAAGATTTAATTTGTTTTTAACCAAATGCATGTATTATGAATTCAAATAAATTAAAAGAAAATTTTTAAAAGCTACAATAATTTATAATTACCAATGAATAATGTGTAACTCACCTCATGACTGATCACAACACACCAGTGCTTCTGACTGGAGTTGATCCTAAGCAGAGTGCTGACAGTCAAACTCAGGACTCCAAGTCCAGAGGTTTTTTTTGCGGGGGGAGGTGAGGGGGACAGAGTCTCTTTCTGTCGCCCAGGCTGGAGGGCAGTGGCACAATCTTACCTCACTGCAAACTTGCCTCCCAGGTTCAAGCAATTCTTGTGCCTCAGCCTCCTTAGTAGCTGGGTCTATAGATGTGCACCACCACACCCGGCTAATTTTTTTTTTTTTTTTTTGAGACAGAGTTTCGCCCTGTTGCCCAGGCTAGAGAGCAGTGGCTGGACCTCGGCTCACTACAAGCTCCGCCTCTGGGGTTCACGCCATTCTCCTGCCTCAGCCTCGCGAGTAGGTGGGACTACAGGCCCCACCACCACGCCTGGCTAATTTTTTGTATTTTTAGTAGAGATGGGGTTTCACCGTGTTAGCCAGGATGGTCTCGATCTCCTGACCTCATGATCCGCCCGCCTCGGCCTCCCAAAGTGCTGGGATTACAGGTGTGAGCCACCGTGCCCGGCAATTTTTCTGTTTTTTAAGTACAGACTGGGTTTCGCCATGTTGGCCAGGTTGGTCTCAAACTCCTGACCTCATGTGGTCCACCCACCTCGGCCTCCCAAAGTGCTGGGATTACAGGCATGAGTCACAGCATCCAGCCATCCACGGCTTTTAATACTACATCATTGCCCAGCATAGTTGCCTCAAGGACTGCACCCTTGCAAGCCCAGTACCTCCAGGACCACCCCCCGACTCAACAAGCCATGACAGTAACATCACAATTGCCATAGCAGAAAAGTCATGACTGTGGAATTAACTCCTCAACAAACATTAAATATTCAGCTCAGTGAATTTTTATATATGTTCACCTGTGTAACCATGATCTGGATCAAAACATATAGACCATACTGGTCAGGCACAGTGGCTCACACCTGTAATCCCAGCGCTTTGGAAAGCTGAGGAGGCGGGTGGATCACCTGAGGTCAGGAGTTCGAGACTAGCCTGACCAACATGGAGAAACCCCGTCTCTACTAAAAATACAAAAAAAATTAGCCAGGCATGGTGGCGCATGCCTGTAATCCCAGCTACTCGGGAGGCTGAGGCAGGAGAATTGCTTGAACCCAGGATGCAGAGGTTGCAGTGAGCAGAGATTGCACCATTGCACTCCAGCCTGGGCAACAAGAGTGAAACTCAAACTCCATCTCAAAAAAAAAAAAAAAAAAAAAAAGATATAGATCATACCATCTCTCCGGAAGGCTCCCTCAGGCCCCCTCAAGTCCATACCCCCTAAATGTAACTACTCTTCTGATTCCTATCATCATGAATTAATTTTGCCTGTTTTTAAATTTTGTATAAATGGAATTATATGGTGACTACTTGTTCGTGTCTGGTTTCTTTTGCTTGACACTATTTTGTGAGATTTATCCATGTTGTTGTATGTAGTAGTTGTTTGTTCATTCCAGGATTGAAAGTGCTGAGTCACAGGGCATAGATATGTATATTTAACTTTACATATACTGCCAAGCAGTTGTCCAATGTAGTTGTACAAATTATACTCCCACTAGCAATGTAAAAAAAATTTCAGTTGTTGGGCCGGGTATAGTGGCTTATGCTTGTAGTTCCAGCACTTTGGAAGGCTGAGGCATGAGGATCACTTGAACTCAAGTGTTCGAGGCTGCAGTGAGCTATGATCGTGCCACTGCACTCCAGCCTGGGCAACAGAGTGAGACTTTGTCTCTACACACAAAAATGTTCCAGTTGCTGCACATCCTCACAGACTCTTGCTATTGTCAGTCCTTTTAACTTCTGCCATTTTGGTGGGGGGTCACTATTTTAAACCCCTCTTGGTTCCTTGATTTTCCATCTGCTCAGTCTTCCGGTCTGATAGACCCTCAATGGACTTTGAACTCCTGACCAACACTTCCTGCCCTTTCTTTCCTGGAATAGAGCCGTATAGTGTTATTACCTGATTGAATCCTAGAGCTCACCACACACAATTCTGATCTCTGCCACAGGCTGAGACCTGACTCCAGCCCAGACTAAGCTCTAATGCTAATCACAGACTGGTCTCTACTCTAATCACAGACTAGCTCTTAGCCCCACACACTGAGCCCTAATCACAACTACAGGGTGAACCCTGATCCCAACCATACCCTGAGCCATTACCCCAGCAACAGATTGAGCTTTCATCCTAGATAGAGGTTTAAACTGATCTGATCCAAATTCAGACTGATAAACACAAGTGGGCCAAGCACAGTGTCAGAAATTATTAGAAGATGTCAAATTGCAAGAATAAAATGCATTGTAAACTACTATTTCTGTAGCCTCTCCTTGGTTCACGTCAAATTTTAATTGTGACTGAATTTTGCTAAGTTGGGGAAAGAAACTACAATCAACCCCACCCTGACATGTTATAAAGAACAGGCTGGGGGCGGGGGAGTGTGGCTCAAAGAAGCCTAAAGCTGAGCCAGTCTGCAGATGGTGGCGGGAAGACGGGTAACCTTCTTCCTGTCCTCACAAGATGGCAGGTTTATTTTAAGGGTGTTTTTAACAGCTTAAAAAATGGATTCAAAGAACACTGGGGGAAGCCTCTGATTTTTGGGCTTCTGCCCATGATGCCTTTTTTTTTTTTTTTTTAACAATGGTATTTGACTCCCAGTGAGATTTGTTCCTTCATTACATTCTGATCATATTGCTTTTCACATCCCCCTCCCTGCAGAGGCTGTTGGGAAGGAAAAAGGAAACAGCCTTGAAGAATGAATGCTTAGAGGTTCTATTTTTTTTTTTTTTTTTTTTTGAGACGGAGTTTCGCTCTTGTTGCCCAGGCTGGAGTGCAATGGCATGATCTCGGCTCACCGCAACCTCCGCCTCCCAGGTTCAAGCAATTCTCTTTGCTCAGCCTCCCGAGTAGTTGGGATTATAGGCATGCGCCACCATGCCCGGTTAATTTTGTATTTTTAGTAGAGACGAGGTTTCTCCATGTTGGTCAGACTGGTCTCGAACTCCCGACCTCAGGCTATCTGCCCACCTCGGCCTCCCAAAGTGCTGGGATCACAGGCGTGAGCTTCCACACCTGGCCTGCTTAGAGGTTCTATTTGCCCTATGTCTGCTAATCAGCAGCAAGCTGGGAACATAATTTTCACTTTTTCTTTTTTTCTTTTTTTTTAAGACAGAGTCTCACTCTGTCACCCAGGCTGGAGTGCAGTGGCGCGATCTCGGCTCACTGCAACCTCTGCCTCCCGGGTTCAAGCAATTCTCCTGCCTCAGCCTCCCGAGTAGCTGGGACTACCGGCGCATGCCACTACACCTGGCTAATTTTTTTTTTTTTTTGTATTTTAGTAGAGACAGGGTTTCACCGTGTTGCCCAGGCTGGTCTGGAACTTCTGAGCTCAGGCAATCCGCCCACCTCGGCCTCCCACAGTGCTGGGATTTTAGGCGTGAGCCACTGCGCCCAGCCAATTTTCACTTTTTCTTATGCCCATGAGAAAAATCTTGATTTTACCCTTAGTACCAGGAACACCCTTAATGCCAGGTCCACAGTGCAAAGTGGATCTTCATACACGTTCTCTCTACTGGACAAAAATCCTGATTCGTTTGAGATTTCTAAACCTTAACTGGGCAAGACAACTTGGATGATGAGGCCGCGTGGCATTGTGGAAAAGGCTCTGGACGGAGAGTCAGGAGACCTGGACAGTCATGCCATCCTATGTCGTGCCACTACAAGTCCCACCCTCTCTCTAGGCCTCCCTTCTCCATCAATAAGAGTAAGGTTTAAGTGCAGCTCTTTGTAGTGTATTTACATACATTATTTCATTTAATCCTCATGAGAAGCATAATAAGTCCCATTTTATAAAAGTAGCAGGGATTTCGAGAAATTAAGACTTGCTGAAGGTAACAGAGTAATCAAATAGTTTTGATTGGTTTGGTTTTGTTTAAGTTGAATGTAACCTGCTAATGTTGTTATTTGTCATTAATTCACTAATTGACAAACATTAATTCAGCATCTTCATGTGCCAAATACTGTTTTTTGGCTCAAGGAACACGGACGTTTTCAGGAATAATCTTGTTGGTTAATGGTCTACACAGGTCAATGTGTCAGTTAAAAAAAAAGTATAATTGCTGGGTGCGTGGCTCACGCCTGTAATCCCAGCACTTTGGGAGGCCAAGGCGGGCAGATCACCTGAGGTCAGGAGTTCGAGACCAGCCTGGCCAACATGGTGAAACCCCGTCTCTACTAAAAATAAAAAAAAATTAGCCGGACATGGTGGCAGGACCTGTAATCCCAACTACGTGGGAGGCTGAGGCAGGAGAATCGCTTGAACCTAGGAGGCGGAGGTTGCAGTGAGCCAAGATCATGCCACTGTACTCCAGTCTGGGTGACAAAGCAAGACTCCGTCTCAAAAAAAGAAAAGAAAAGTATGATTAAGGGTCTTCTTCTTCTCCTTCTCCTTCTTCTTCTTCTCTTAATGGAGTCTAGCTCTGTCGCCCAGACTAGAGTGCAGTGGTGTGATCTCAGCTTACTGCAACCTCCACCTCCCAGGTTCAAGTGATTCTCCCGCCTCAGGCTCCTGAGTAGCTGGGACTACAGGTGTGTGCCACCACGCCAAGCTAATTTTTTGTATTTTTAGTAGAGACAGGGTTTCACTGTGTTAGCCAGGATGGTCTGGATCTCCTGACCTCGTGTTCCATCCACCTTAGCCTCCCAAAGTGCTGGGATTACAGGTGTGAGCCATCGTGTCCAGCCCCTTTCTTCTTCTCTTAAGACAAATATGGGTTAACTTTCCATCTCTGTCCCCCTGGAAGTCTAATAAAGGGGCAATGTCAGCTGTGGTATTCAACAGCATCGCTTATGGTAAAAATAACTCCTGATTGGTAAACTTCTTCTGGGCCAGGATACATAAGTACCTGATGAGAACACAGCTTTGGGCCACCCTAATTGCAGTGACACTTGTAACCAGTTCATCGTCTATGGAGAACCTGATAGCTATGCTCCCGAGACACTAGATATGATTCCTATTTGGGACAGGGCATTTCTTTTCTTTTCTTTTCTTTCTTTTTTTTTTTTTTTGAGACGGAGTCTTGCTCTGTCGCCCAGGCTGGAGCGCAGTGGCGCGATCTCGGCTCACTGCAAGCTCTGCCTCCCGGGTTCACGCTGTTCTCCTGCCTCAGCCTCCCGAATAGCTGGGACAGGCGCCCGCCACCATGCCCGGCTAATTTTTTGTATTTTTAGTAGAGACGGGGTTTCACAGTGTTAGCCAGGATGTCTCGATCTCCTGACCTCGTGATCGCTCACCTCTGCCTCCAAAAGTGCTGGGATTACAGGCGTGAG
Source organism: Homo sapiens (assembly GCF_000001405.40). Taxonomy (NCBI): domain Eukaryota; kingdom Metazoa; phylum Chordata; class Mammalia; order Primates; family Hominidae; genus Homo; species Homo sapiens. Next base: position 36,507,211 of record NC_000009.12, read on the forward strand.
CCACTGCGCCCGGCCAGGGCATTTCTTCTTCTTCTTCTTCTTCTTTTTTTTTTTTTTTTTTCCGAGACGGAGTCTCGTTCTGTTGCCCAGGCTAGAGTGCAGTGGCGCGATCTCCACTCACTGCAAGCTCCGCCTCCCAGGTTCAAGCGATTCTGGTGCCTCAGCCTTCTGAGCAGCTGGGACTACAGGCGCATGCCACCAGGCCCGGGTAATTTTTTTGTATTTTTAGTAGAGACGGGATTTTGCCATGTTGGCCAGGCTGTTCTTGAACTCCTGACCTCAGGTGATCTGCCCTCCTTGGCCTCCCAAAGTGCTGGGATTACAGGCATGAGCCACCGCGCCCAGCGGGACAGGGCATATCTAAACTAAGGTTGTCGCTGCACCTGTGAATATGATCCTGTCTCCTTGCACCTAAGCTGTCACCTGGGGGGCCAAAGAAGACTAATCACTGGATAACTACAATAACTCTGCTGAAGAGAAGTGCCAGATGTTGTTCTGCTGGCACAGTGTGTCATGTCTTGAATCCTTCTGAGTGAATCTGATGCAAAGTAAAGCCTATGGTATTGAGGGTAAATGTCTGGTTGAACTCAAAGACCACCTAATAATGGACATTTCAGGGGCAAATCCAGATCCAGTAGTTTTGAAGATATAATTCCAACCCTATTTTGTCTGACTCTAGCCATGGTTCTCAATCTTGGCCACACGTTGGACTCACATTGAAATGATATTGAATCCCTTGCCACAATGAACACAGCAATAAAAAAAGAAAGCACTGCTACACACAACATGGATGAATCTCTTGGGCATGATGGTGAAAGAAAGGAGCCAGCCACAAAAGAGTGCAAACTGGGTAATTCCACTTATCAGAAGTTCAGATGCAGCCCAAACTAACCAGAATAGTGGCTATTATTGAGGGGGTAGGTATTGACTGGAGGCAGAAGGGAGCCTTCTGGGGAGCTATAAATATCCTGTATCGTGATCTGTGTGGTGGTTACATGGGTGGGTGTATATATTCATAAAATATGTGAAGGCAGGGAATCTAGAAGCAGAAAGATAGGCTGAATCCAAAGGTGGGTGGGGGGCTTAACTAGAGATTTGAGGCCTGAGCTGGAGGCTGAATCTTCTGTAAAAACTCCCACTGACCCTGCAAGGTGGAAAGTGTGAGCCCCGTGGAAAGGTACTGAATAGTAATTCTATCAGAGGGACCCAAGACTTTGAGAAAGGAGAAATAGGAGAATGGGACCTAGATGTTCAACTCCCAAGGGAAGCGGGAAAGCAGCCTGCAGCTGCAACCAAAAGGAAAACTCCACTATGCAAGGAGCTATGAATATAAAAACCCAGGGGAGGTAACATTTTGTGGATATCAAGTGACAGTTTTGGAGATGGTATTTTACTTTTTATGTGTCTCTTTCTTCCCCCATCTATTTTTAAGACTTTTAATTGCAGGAGAATTAAATAAAGTAATGTACGAGGCTTTATTTTAGTCAGACTGGAGCCCAGACAGCACCTGAAATTAGGTCCTGCCTTTGTTAAAGTGGATTAATTTATTCCTAGCTTCAAGCTGGGATGAAACTTCTGGTGTAAGACCAAATTGAAAGAGAAAATCCAGGAGTCATGCTTCATGACAACTGGCTGAAAGGATGGAGGCCACTGTCTTGGTGGAGGAAGGATCTCAGGGAAAGCGACAGGACATGGGAAGTGTTTCCATATATCTGAAGGTTTGCCATGTGAGAAAAAGGCAGATTTGCTCAAGATGAGTGCAGAGGGGAACAAGGAAATTCTATGTGGAAATTCTTGGAATTCTTGGGGGCACCAGAGTTGCTTGAACCCAGGAGGTGGAGGTTGGAGTAAGCCTAGATCGAGCCACTGCACTCCAGCCTGGGTGAAAGAGTGACTCTGTCTCAAAAAAAGAAAGAAAGAAAGAAAGAAAAACACTTTTCTTCTGACATATTCAAATAATATCATCGGCGTTAACAAAGATAGACAGCTAAAGTCATAAATTTGTGTTCTAAGTGATTCAAAGCTGTGCAAGTATTGATATGAACAACTATATTTGTGTAGACAGGGAATGATAATATCACCCATGTAGAGATGGCAGGATGAGTGATCTTCACTGGAATTACACCAGCATGCTCCTGCTCTTCCTTTTTCATTTTTTTTCAGGTTTTTAAAATAATCTACCATATTTTTATTGGTTGCAAGAAATATTTTCCCTTCTCCAGATTTGGAGAACAGGATTTTCTTCCCTCCTCCCTGCAACCCATTCCAGTTGCTCACCCTGTGTTTGGCTTGACTAGCCAAGTGATTCCCTCCTGCATGAAATTCTTACATTGCTCTTGATTCAAATTCATACTAGGTGTTTAAAAATGCATAATCTCAGTTAATCCTCTCAACAGCCCACAATATCAGTATAATTATTCTCATTACAATTAAATTCATGTCTTGGATCTTTGAGGCTGTTTGTGAGTAGCTGAAACAATGAATAGTAATTCACAAATGTCAAGGGTCTATTCTAATTTACCTGTCTGTCTCCCAAAATAGACTATGAAGACTTGAACTTTTTTTTTGTTTGATTTGTTTTTTGAGATGGAGTCTCACTCTGTCGTCCAGGCTCGAGTGCAGTGGTGCAATCTCTGCTCACTGCAACCTCTGCCTACCAGGTTCAAGCAGTTCTCCTGTCTCAGCCTCCCCAGTAGGTGGGATTACAAGCATGAGCAACCACGCCCAGCTAATTTTTGTATTTTTGGTAGAGAGGGGGTTTCACCATGTTAGTCAGGCTGGTCTCGAACTCCTAAGTGATCTGCCTGCCTTGGCCTCCCAAAGTGCTGGGATTTATAGGTGTGAGCCACCGCGCCCGGCCAATTTTGAACTTATGAACCATATCTTATTCATCATTATATTCTCAACAATACCTAGCACGATTCCTGACGCATAGTAGGGGCTCAAAATTATTTTTCCAATAAATAAATAGATTAATGGAAAGGTATAATAATTAATATTGCATTTGAATCATTTAAATAGGGTGCATTTATATATAATAGATCAAAGATACTTGAGGGAAATCTCAAAATAGTTGTTTTTTTTTTGGGACAGAGTCTCACTCTATCACCCAGGCTGGAGAGCAGTGGCGCAATATCAGCCCACTGCACCCTCTGGCTCCCAGGTTCAGGTGATTCTCCTGCCTCAGCCTCTTGAGTAGCTGGGATTATAGGCACCCGCCACGAGCCCGGCCAATTTTTGTATTTTTATTAGAAATGGGGTTTCGCCATATTGGCCAGCTGGTCTCCAACTCCTGACCTCAAGTGATCCGCCGTCCTCGGCCTCCCAAAGTGTTGGTATTACCGGCGTGAGCCACTGCACCTGGCCTCAAAATAGTCTCAACTGTGGTGAAAAGACTAGAAAACGATCCTACCTGCAGTTTCTACCATATGAAATTATGCATTCTTGAAAAATAAGATAGCAGAAATAGCGACAGAATCCCTTTATAACTAGGTATCACTCCTGTAATAAACCAAAATAATTTATTCTGAGGGATAAAAGGGTAAGCCCTTCAGCCCCACTCCTTCTCGTCTCTCCTTTCCCTCCCTTTTCTCTCTTCTCCCTTTTCTCCTTTCTTTTCTGTTCCCATTTTCAAACATTTACTAAGACACTATTGCCTTAACACACTGTGAGGATTTCAGCCCTTGCCTTCAAAGAGCTTATAGTCCAGAGGAAAAAAGGTTAAGAAATGGCAATATCTATAACCACGGTGACAACATCTGACTTTCTACAATAGCATCAAGCCCACAGTTTTGCCCGAGCCGCCCTCGGGCGCACCACGAATCCCATCTTGGAAGACTTGCCTGATCTTTTTTCCCTGAGCACAGGCACAAAGAAAATTCTTCTCCTCATTCTGTAAATACTTAGTGTATCTGACTGAACTGCATCTGACTGAACTGCAATAGCAACTGGGCTTTCCTCTGGGAGCAAAAGCTAGGGAAAGCCTCAAAACAATATTAAAAATGACTGGAGCTACTCAGAAGAATTATAACAACTGGAAGGGGACTTAGAGAACTTTCAATCCAGCTACCTCATTTTCCAGATCTGGAAGCTGAGAACCAGAGTTGGAAGGTGGTGACCTGCCTGTGGTCACATAGCAAATCAGTGGCAATGCAATAATCCTGAGATTATTTTAAGTAGTGCATGACAAACTTTTACATATACAAATAATTGTGCATTTCTCTTTTTTTTTTTCTTTTTGAGACAGAGTCTGGCTCTGTCGCCAGGCTGGAGTGCAGTGGCACGATCTCAGCCCACTGCAATCTCTGTCTCCCAGGTTCAAGCAATTCTCCTGCCTCAGCCTCCCGAGTAGCCGGGATTACAGGCACACGCCACCATGCCGGGCTAATTTTTGTATTTTTAGTGGAGATGGGGTTTCACCATGTTGGCCAGGATGGTCTTGATCTCTTGACCTCGTGATTCACCCGCCTCTGCCTCCCGAAGTGCTGGGATTACAGGTGTGAGCCACCATGCCCAGCCTGCATTTCTATTTTTAACTTGTATAAATTTAATGAGTATAAGTGGAATATGCATTTATTTTAGTTTAGGAAATATATAAAAAGCACATCAAGCTCTGATTTTATAGATAAGGATATTATATAGTGGTCAAAAGTTTTCTTTAAATTTTAAAATAAAAAGATGAATGGGCTGGGCATGGTGGCTCACACCTGTAATCCCAGCACTTTGGGAGGCTGAGGCAGGTGGATCACTTGAGGTCAGGAGCTCGAGACCAGCCTGGCCAACATGGTGAAACTCCATCTCTACTAAAAATACAAAAATTAGCCAGATGTGCTCGCTTGACCCCAGGAGGCGGAGGTTACAGTAAACCGAGAGTGTGCCACTGCACTCCAGCCTGGGGGACAGAGCAAGACAGTCTTAAAAAAAAAATGAATGAATTAAAATAAAAGTATTTTTTAGGCCGGGTGTGGTGGCTTACGCCTGTAATCCCAGCACTTTGGGAGGCCGAGGTGGGCGGATCACCTGAGGTCGGGAGTTCAAGACCAGCCTGATCAACATGGAGAAACCCCGTCTCTACTAAAAATACAAAATTAGCCGGGCATGATGGCACATGCCTATAATCCCAGCTACTCAGGAGGCTGAGGCAGGAGAATAGCTTGAACCCAGTAGGTGGAGGTTGTGGTGAGCCAAGATCACGCCATTGCACTCCAGCCTGGGCAACAAGAGTGAAACTCCATCCCCCTTAAAAAAAAAAAAATAAAATATATATATATATATGTGTATATATATATATATATATGTATAAAATATATATGTATATATATGTATAAAATATATATGTATATATGTTATACATATGTATAATATATATAATACATGTATAATATATAATACATGTATCATATAATACATGTATCATATATATTATATATGTATATATTATATACATATAATATACATAATATATAATTGTAATATATATAATATATAATATGTAATATATTATATAAATAATATATATGTATATATTATACATTATACATGTATAATATATATAAATAATATTATATATAAATAATATTATATATAATAAAAATATATAAATATATAAAATATATATATAAATAATATATATAATATATATTATACATGTATTTTATATATATATAAAGTATATACATACATATTTTTTTAAAGTAGAGGCCAGGTACAGTAGCTCACACCTATAATCCTAGCACTTTGGGAGCCCAAACCAGGTGGATTGCTTGAGCCCAGGAGTTCGAGGCCAGTCAGGGCAACATGGTAAAACCCCATCTTTACAAAAAATACAGAAAATTAGACAGGTGTGGTGGCATGCGACTGTAGTCCCAGCTACTTAGGAGGCTGAGGTGGGAGGATCACCTGAGCCCGGATGGTCAAGTTTGCAGTGAGCTGTGATCATGCCACTGCACTCCAGCCTGGGTGACAGAGTGAGACCCCTGTCTGGAAAAAAAAAAGAGGTGGGAGTAGTCAGTACAATAATGGAGTAAAAAAATTACGAAAGGGGTATGCAAATTACTGAAGTTTAGAAAACATCATGTTTACTATATCACACTGCATCTCTCCAAGATAAGATAAAGGACTTTGAAGCTGGGCGCAGTGGCGCATGCCTGTAGTCCCAGTTACTCAAGAGGCTGAGGCGGGAGGATCACTTGAGTCCAGGAGTTCGAGGCTACAGTGTGTTATGATTGTACCTGTGAATAACCACTGCAGTCCAGCTTGGACAACAAACAAGACCCTGTCTCTAAAAAAAAAAAAATTAAAATTTAAAAAATAAGAAAATGTAAAGGACTTTGACAAATGTACCGGCTCAGAACATTCTGAGAAGACAATTTTTTAATGTAAAGGTGATGATTGAATAGTTGGATATGTGCACGTTTAGCAAAAATGGGTTAGGCACAGTTAAGAGTAGGTATTTTATTCAGGAAGAATAGAAGGCAACTAGATGGGGGAGTTTGGCCTGAGTTTTGACATTTGATAGAAATGATTGTGTTTTCTTTTTTTTTTTTTTTTGAGATGGAGTTTTGCTTTGTTGCCCAGGCTGGAGTGCAATGGCGCGATCTCGGCTCACCACAACCTCCGCCTCCTAGGTTCAAGCAATTCTCCCGCCTCAGCCTCCCGAGTAGCTGGGATTACAGGCATGCACCACCACGCCTGGCTAATTTTTTTTTTGTATTTGTAGTAGAGACGGGGTTTCTCCACGTTGGTCAGGCTGGTCTCGAACTCCTGACCTCAGGTGATCCGCCCACCTCAGCCTCCCAAAGTACTGGGATTACAGGCGTGAGCCACTGCGCCCGGCAATGATTGTATTTTCAAGTATGCCTTCCTGGATTAACAAAGGGTCAAATAGAAACCCTGCAACCTGTTTTCCTATAACTGAATGTGAGTGAATATTTTATCAGAATTGGGTTCAAATCCTGCTTCTGCCACTTCCCAGCTTGTGCCCTCTGCCAAGTCACTTAACCACTCTGAGTTTGTGAAAAAGTTACGTTGTCAGGAGCAACTATGAGAATGTCAAAATGCCTCGAAAGGGAGAGTGAGAAAAAGACTGAAAGAAAGATGAAGAAAAAGAAAAAAAAAAATGACAAAAGAGAGGAAGCCAGGTTGGAAGGACTATAAGAAGAATGGGAGCTGGTAAAATTATTTCAGACTTTATGTGCTGAAATAGTCATTCTTGTCACAAGCTGCTAGATTTTCTTCTTATGAAAACATTTCTAAGGTGGCAGATGAATATATTTTTAAAATTTTTCCTGAAACATAACACTCCAACAGGATGTGTTAGAGAAATGCCAAGAAAAGAAGGCAGAAGGAGGTAAAGTCCTTGAATGAAAAGGAAGATAAAGGGATCTATGCATGGACCTAGTGGGGCAGAAGTCCCACCTCCTCTATGAAGCCCCACTGGGTTCCTGGGTGGAGCTGACTGTCTCCTCCTTAGACCCCTGCTATATTTACACACCTTCTACTAGGGCCAGTGCAATGGCTTAGGAGCATCTCTGTTTGTCATTCCCATTAGATAATAATCCCCTTAACTGCTGGGACTGTCTTATTTATCTTACGTATTCCCAGTCCTTCTCACAGGACCTGGTCCATATGATATGCTTGATAAACATCTGTTGAATGAATGAGCCTGTTTCTAGGAACTTGCAGTGATGATCTTTGAGGGATAAATGGAGGTCAGGAAGACATTTGGCCTGGAGTGTGTCTGGGGAGACATACTTACTGTTTTCCAATAGTTGAAGAACTGTCTTGGGGAAGTGTATTTTTAAAATGTGCTCTGTCGTCCTTAATGGCACAGCTAGAACTAAGAAAATCAACCTGGCTAACATGGCAAAACCCCATCTCTACCAAAAAACTACAAAAATTAGCCGGGCGTGATGGCACATGCCCAAAGTCCCAACTACTCGGGAGTCTGAGATGGGAGGATCATTTGAACCTGGGAGGTGGAGGTTGCAGTGAGTCCAGATCGCAGCCTGGGCAACAGAGCAAGACTCTGTCAAAAAAAAAAAAAAAAAAAAAGGAGCCATGGGCTTGGACTGGAATGTACTGCCCATGTTTACTGTGTTCATAAACTCTGGTGCAGGGCTTCAAGTGCCCAGAAGTAGGGTCACCTGTTTTAAATTTACACACAAGTGCCCTATGGGATTAGGAGTCAGAAAGACTTGAGTTCTAACTACTCAACTTTTCTAGCAGTGTGACTTTGAGCAAATTAATTAGCCCTCTGAGCCTCAGTTTCCTTTTTTCAAATATGCCAATAACTATATCTCCCTCCCGGGGTGAGATAAGGCTTAAATAATAAAGCAGGCTGGGTGTGGTGGCTCATGCCTTGTAATCTCAGCACTTTGGGGGACCAAGGTGGTAGGACTGCTTGAGCCCAAGAATTCAAGACCAGCCTGGGCAACTTAGAGAGACCCCGACTCAAGGTGGCCAGGCGCGGTGGCTCACGCCTGTAATCCCAGCACTTTGGGAGGCTGCAGCGGGCGGATCACGAGGTCAGGAGATCGAGACCATCCTGGCTAACACGGTGAAACCCTGACTCTACTAAAAATACCAAAAATTAGCCGGGCGTGGGGGCGGGCACCTGTAGTCCCAGCTACTCGGGAGGCTGAGGCAGGAGAATGGCGTGAACCCGAGAGGCGGAGGTTGCAGTGAGCTGAAATCGCGCCACTGCACTGCAGCCTGGGCGACAGAGCGAGACTCCGTCTCAAAAAAAAAAAAAAAAAAAGAGAGACCCCGACTCAAAACAAACAAAAAAAATTCTTTTTGTAGAGATGGGGTCTTCCTCTATCACCCAGGCTGGAGTGCAGTGGCACAATCTTGGCTCACTGCAACCTCTGCCTTCCAGGCTCAAGTGATCCTCCCACCTCAGCCTCCCAAATAGCTGGCACCACAGGCCCACGCCACCAGACCCAGCTAATTTTTTGTATTTTAAGTTTCTCCATGTTGCCCAGACTGGTCTTGAACTCCCAGCCTCAAGTGATCCACCTGCCTTGGCTTCCCAAAGGGATGGAATTACAGGTGTGAGCCACCACACCTGGCCAGAATTTTTTTTTTTTGGAGCTGGGGTCTTGCTCTGTCGCCCAGATTGGAGTGCAGTGGTGTGATCTCAGCTCACTGCAACCTCCACCTCCTGGATTCAAGCAATTCTCCTGCCTCAGTCTTCTGAGTAGCTGGGATTACAGGCGCCCACCACCACGCCTGGGTAATTTTTGCATTTTTAGTAAAGACAGGGTTTCACCACGTTGGCCAGGCTGGTCTCGAACTCCTGACCTCAAGTGATCCGCCCACGTCGGCCCCCCAAAGTGCTGGGATTACAGGCGTGACCCACCGCACCCGGTCCAGACTTTTTTTTTTTTTCAATTAGCCAGGTGTTGTGCCATTTGCCTGTGGTCCCAGCTACTCAGGAGGCTGAGATGGGAGAATTCCTTAAGCCCAGGACTTCGAGGCTGCAGTGAGCTATTAATGCACCACTGCACTCCAGCCTGGTCAACTGAGTAGGACCCTGTCCCACACTGCCCCCCACAAAAAAGCACATAAAGCTCTTAGCACAGTATCATAACAAACATTTAATTTCTTTTAAGAAGACAGCCCTAGTGTTTTTTTGTTTGTTTGTTTGCTTTTTTGGAGGCAGAATTTCGCTCTTGTTGCCCAGGCTGGAGTGCAATGGCGCGATCTCCGCTCACCGCAACCTCTGCCTCCCGGGTTCAAGCTATTCTCTTGCCTCAGCCTCCCGAGTAGCTGGGACTACAGGCGCCTGCCACCACGCCCGGCTAATTTTTTGTATTTTTCATAGAGACAGGGTTTCTTCACGTTGGTCAGGCTGGTCTTGAACTCCCAACCTCAGGTGATCCGCCTGCCTCGGCCTCCCAAAGTGCTGGGATTACAGGTGTGAGCCACCATGCCAGGCTGCCCTAGTGTTTTTATTTTCCTTTCAGTCTCTTCCTAGCTATAAACATGGATAATTGAATAAAACTTCTCAACATTGCAACTTCTCTTTCTGTAGGAAACAACCCTGTTCAATCCCATTGTCTGCCTCCATGAAGACTTCCCTTACATTCATTAACTAGATGACATTGCATAGTCACTTCCTTCTGAGAGCTTGTTTTTCTATCTGTAATGAAGACAGGAGAGGGAGGAATGTCTATTTCTATTTTTAGCAGTCCATTTCCACAAGTGTATGTTAATTTTGTAAAGAAAGAAAAGATTTTTAAAAATTGAACTAAACTGCTGTCTAATGTCCCTTTTTGCTCTGACATTTTTTGAGCCTGAGAATCTAAGCCTCCTTCTCTTTCCCCTGTTCCCATTGCCCTCCTCCATTCCTAGCTTCTCTCTCTCTCTGGCCTTAGAATGCAAAACTCCATTGAGAGTGCACCATGCAGGTGGAAGGATTGCAACAAATACATTTCTCCTCTGGCCCCATGCTAGGACCTGGTCCCAGAAATGGCTATAGCTGGGAACATCTAGGGAAGCCCAGAGCAGATCGGATTGCCTTACTTAGCTGGAGCTCAGCCTATCTATTCTTTTTCTATTTTTTTTTTTTTTTTTTTGAGACGGAGTTTCGCTCTTGTTGCCCAGGCTGGAGTGCAATGGCGTGATCTCAGCTCACTGCAACCTCTGCCTCCTGGGTTCAAGCGATTCTCCTGCCTCATCCTCCTGAGTAGCTGGGATTACAGGCATGCGCCACCATGCCTGGCTAATTTTGTGTTTTTATTAGTAGTGACGGGGTTTCTCCATGTTGGTCAGGCTGGTCTCGAACTCCTGACCTCAGGTGATCCGCCCGCCTCAGCCTCCCAAAGTGCTGCGATTACAGGCATGAGCCACCGCACCCGGCCTTTTCTTTTTCCTTTCTTTTTTTAAAAAAAGGAGTCTCGCTCTGTCGCCCAAGCTGGAGTGCAGTGGAATGATCTCGGCTCACTGCAGCCTCCACCTCCTGGGTTCAAGTGATTCTCCTGCCTCAGCCTGTTATGTAGCTGGGACTACAGTGGGACTACAGGTGTGATCCACCACACCCGGCTAATTTTCTTTTCTTTTTTTTTTTTTTTTTTGAGGAGTCTTGCTCTGTCTTCCAGGCTGGAAGTGGCGCAATCTCGGCTCATTGCAACCTCCACCACCCTGGTTCAAGCAATTCCCCTGCCTCAGTCTCCGAAGTAGCTGGGATTACACGCGCACACCACCATACCCAGCTCTTTTTTTTTTTTTGGTAATTTTATTAGAGATGGGGTTTCACTATGTTGGCCACACTGGGTCTGGAACTCCTGAACTCCTAACCTCAGGTGGTTTTTTGTTTTGCTTTGTTTTTTGTTTTGTTTTGTTTGTTTTTGATGGAGTCTTGCTCTGTTGCCCAGGCTGCAGTGCAGTGACGCAATCTCGGCACTGCAACCTCTGCCTCCCGGGTTCAAGCGATTCTTCTGCCTCAGCCTCCAGAATAGCTGGGACTACAGGCACACGCCACCACACCCAGCTAATTTTTGTATTTTTAGTAGAGATGGGATTTCACCATGTTGGCCAGGCTGGCTTGAACTCCTAACCTCGTGATCTGCCCACCTTGGCCTCCCAAAGTGCTGGGATTACAGGCATGAGCCACCACGCCCAGCTCACCAGGCTAATTTTCATCTTTTTAGTAGAGACGGGGTTTCAGGCTGGTCTCGAACTCCTGACCTCAAGTGATCCACCCACCTCAGCCTCCCAAAGGGTTGGGATTACAGGTGTGAGCCACCGCACTTGGCCTTCAGCCTATGTTTTCATTTGAGCACTTTTCTTTATAATTTCACGTTGTCATCCTCATCTAGTACCCAATTTCCTTTAGGGAAATCCAGCAGTTGAGTTACAGAATGATAGACTTAAAAGTGTGCAAACTGGATAACAAAGAAATCATGTTCCGGCCGTGTGAGGTGGCTCACGCCTGTAATGCCAGCACTTTGGGAGGCCGAGGCGGCTGGATCACGAGGTCAAGAGATCGAGACCATCCTGGCCAACATGGTGAAGCCCTGTCTCTACTAAAAAAAAAAAAAAAATTAGCTGGGCATGGTGGCGCTGGTGGCATGTACCTGTAGTCCCAGATACTTGAGAGGCTGAGGCAGGAGAATCGCTTGAACCCGGGAGGCGAAGGTTGCGGTGAGCTGAGATCGTGCCACTGCACTCCAGCCTGGGCAACAGAGTGAGACTCTGTCTCAAAAAAAAAAAAAGAAAAAAGAAATCACGTTCCACAAAAACTGTGCAACCCGGCCGGGCTTGGTGGCTCATGCCTGTAATCCCAGCACTTTGGGAGGCTGAGGCAGGAGGATCACTTGAGGTCAGGAGCTCGAGACCAGCCTGGCCAATATGGTGAAACCCCATCTCTACTAAAAATACAAAAATATTAGCCGGGCTTGGTGTATGCCTGTAGTACCAGCTACTCGGGAGGCTGAGGCAGGAGATCACTTGAGCCTGGGAAGCAGAGGTTGCTGTGAGCTGAGATCACTCCATTGCACTCCAGCTGGTGCAACAGAGCAAAACTCCATCTCAAAACACACACACACACACACACACACACACACACACACACAAAACCTATGTAGTCCACCCCGTCCTTATTTCTGTTATCCTTTTTTTCCCTCAAGGACCAAGTGGCTTAAGCTTTTCTGACCAAATAACATTAATTTTATCTTTTATCCTCTCCCCATCCCTCTTCCCCTCCCCCTCCCCCTCTCTCTCCCTCTCCCCCTCTTCTTCTTTCTTCTTCTTTTGAGACAGGGTCTTGCTCTGTTCCCCAGGCCAGAGTACAGTGGCAGGATCTTTGCTCACTGCAACCCCCGCCTCCTGGGTTCAAATGATTCTCATGCCTTAGCCTCCTGAGTAGCTAGGACTATAGGTATGCACCACCACACCTGGCTAATTTTTTGTGTTTTTAGTAGAGACGGTTTCTCCATGTTGGAGGGGCTGCTCTTGTGACCTCAGGTGATCTGCCAGCCTCAGGCTCCCAAAGTGCTGGGATTACAGGCATGAGCTCTGCAGCCAGCCATCTTTTCTTCTTTAAATGTTTTATTTGTTTGTTTATTTATGTATTTATTTTTGAGACAGAGTCTTACTCTGTCACCCAGGCTGAGTGCAGTGGCATGATCTCGGCTCCCTGCAACCTCCGCCTCCCGGGTTCAAGTCTCCTGCCTCAGCCTCCCTATTAGCTGGGATTACAGGCTCATACCACCATGCCTGGCTAATTTTTTTTTCTTTTTTTTTTTGCGATGGAGTCTCACTCAGTTGCCCAGGCTGGAGTGCAGTGGTGTGATCTCAGCTTGCTGCAACCTCCACCTCCTGGGTTCTGATGATTCTCCCGCCCCAGCCTCCTGAGTAGCTGGGATTACAGGCGCCCGCCATCATGCCCAGCTAATTTTTGTATTTTTGGTAGAGACGGGGTTTCACTATGTTGGCCAGGCTGGTCTTGAACTCCTGACCTCAGGTGATCCACCTGTCTCGACCTCCCAAAGTGCTGGGATTATAGGCGTGAGCCACCATGCTGGCCCAGTTAAAATGTTTTAAAGAGAATACAAAATGTAAAAATTAGGAATATATGAAAAGGCATTTCTGACATTTCTGGGAAAAATGACAAGATTCGGTGAGATTAAAACCCAGTCAAAAATCACCTGGGATTCAGTAGCAGCTGCCCTAGTATCGCAGACACTCTCCAGTTGGTCTTCAGTCTCTGTCCCTTCCTGTTATCACCTGACCCCCACCAAGGTCAATATCAATTCCAATACACTGTTAAACCCAGCCCACTTCGCTAGAGGCCAACCCCTATAGACAAATGAGTGTATGACTCCAAGATTAGAATGAGCCTATGGATCAACAAACACGCAGAATTATTTGCAGTCAATTAGTAAAATGTCAAATGCAGTTGATGAGATTGCTTTACAAAAGTGTCTGGACCTGGCGTATCACAGGCACTCAACAGAAAGTAATTGCTATGACTAGTATTAAAATTATTATTACTTAACTGAGATGCATCTTCTTACTTTGAGGACAATCTTGCATCAGTGACATATCCAAGAAAACGGAGTCGGTGACTTCTCTGATGGAAAGCAGTCTCAACCTATCTTTTTCCAGTCCTCCAGGACTTTTGCTGAGTAATGTTTTCTTCATTTTGTTACAGAGTTGTTTATAACGTGGGAGCCCAGAGGAGTCACTGACTCTATCAGGATGAGGGCACAGCATCACTGGAAGAAACCTCTTTATTCCAGGTTTCATGTATTCACATGGAAGAACCTCCTTTAGGGAAGTAGTGGCTTATATAATTGGTTAGTTTGGAAGAAGGGACAACAGCATATACAGGGCTTAGCATTTACCTTTCTGTTTTTATTTGGCACAACCTTACATGAACCTGGTACATATCGTGACCTGTTCCTTCATACGTCAAATATAAAGTATATAGGAGATCAATGATTGCCTGGACCTGAGTGAAAGAAGGTCAGGAAATGTATTACAAAAGAGTATGAGATATTTTGGGGGGCAATGGATGTGTTCATTATCCTGATTGTGTTGATGGTTTCACAGGTATGGAGACATGTTAGAACTCATCAAATTGTACACTACGGCTGGGCGCGGTGGCTCATGCCTGTAATCCCAGCACTTTGGGAGGCTGAGGTGGGAGGATCACTTAAGCCCAGAGGTTTGAGACCAGCTTGGGCAACAAGGTGAAACACTGTCTTTACAAAAGAAATATAAAAATTAGCCAGGTGCGGCTGGGCACGGTGGCTCATGCCTGTAATCCTAGTACTTTGGGGGGTCGAGGCAGGCAGATTGCCTGAGGTCAAGAGTTCAAGAACAGCCTGGGCAACACGGTGAAACCCCATCTCTACTAAAATACAAAAAACAGGCCGGGCACAGTGGCTCATGCCTGTAATCTCAGCACTTTGGGAGGCCAAGGTGGGCAGATCACGAGATCAAGAGATTGAGACCATCCTGGCCAACATGGTGAAACCCGGTGTCTACTAAAAATCCAAAAATTAGGTGGATGTGGTGGCACGCGCTTGTAGTCCCAGCTACTTGGGAGGCTGAGACAGGAGAATCGCTTGAACCCAGGAAGCAGAGGTTGCAGTGAGCCAAGATCGAGCCACTGCACTCTAGCCTGGCAACAGAACGAGACTCTGTCTCAAAAAAAAGGAAAAAAAAAAAAATTAGCCAGGCGTGGCAGCATGCGCCTATAGTCCCAGCTACTCGGGAGACTGAGGCAGAAGAATTGCTTGAACCCTGGAGGTGGAGGTTGCAGTGAGCTGAGATCATGCCACTGCACTCCAGCACGGGTGGAGCCTTAAAAAAAAAAAAAGCCAGGTGTAATGTCACATGCCTGTGGTCCCAGCTACTCAGGAGGCTGAGGGAGGAGGATTGCTTAAGTCCAGGAGTCCAGGACTGCAGTGTGACATGATCGTGCCACTGCCCTCCAGCCTTTGTGATACAAGCAAGACCCTGTCTCAAAAAAATAAAAAATTTACACTCTAAACGAGTGCAGCTAATTGTCAATTATATCTCAATAAAGCTGGGAAAAAGCCATGTAAGTAAATGGAGAGAGAAGTGTAAAAAGTCATTTTATAATGGTGAAAAAGCATTTTCTATAATAACATGATTTGACTGTAAAACCAATGAGAGTCACCTATACAATTTGTGTATACACACATGGAAAATGGAAAAAAAGTTAATCATTTAAAAATCTTTCAGATAAAGAGGGTCAGTGAGTTGTTTTTAACTCACTTCTTTCTTTTTTCTTTTTTTTGGGGGAGGGGGCAGAGTCTTGCTCTGTCGCCCAGGCTGGAGTGCAGTGGCGTGATCTCGGCTCACTGCAGTCTCCATCTCCTGGGTTCATGCCATTCTCCTGCCTCAGCCTTCTGAGTATCTGGGACTACAGGTGCCCGCCACCACACCCAGCTAATTTTTTGTATTTTTAGTAGAGACGGGGTTTTACCGTGTTAGCCAGAATGGTCTTGATCTCCTGACCTCGTGATCCGCCCACCTCGGCCTCCCAAAGTGCTGGGATTACAGGCGTGAGCCACCGCGCCTGGCCTCTTTGTTTTTGTTTTTTTTTTTTTTTTTGAGACAGAGTCTCACTCTGTCGCCCAGGCTGGAGTGTAGTGGTGTGGTCTTGGTTCACTGCAGCCTCCGTCTCCCAAGTTCAAGCCATTCTTCTGCCTCAGCCTCCCGAGTAGCTGAGACTGCAGGTGCGTGCCATGACACCTGACTAATTTTTGTATCTTTTTGTTTTTTGAGACGGAGTTTCGCTCTTGTTGCCCAGGCTGGAGTGCAATGGTGCGATCTCGGCTCACTGCAACCTCTGCCTCCCGGGTTCAAGCAATTTTCCTGCCTCAGCCTCCCGAGTAGCTGGGATTACAAGTGCCCGCCACCACGCCCAGCTAATTCTTTTTGTATTTTTGTAGAGACAGGGTTTCACCATGTCAGCCAGGCTGGTCTCGAACTCCTGACCTCAGGTGATCCACCCGCCTTGACCTCCTACAGTGTTGGGATTACAGGCGTGAGCCACCAGGCTCGGCCTCAATTTTTGTATTTTTAGTAGAGAAGGGGTTTCACCGTGTTGGCCAGGCTGGTCTCGAACTCCTGGCCTCAAGTGATCTGCCTGCCGCGGCCTCCCAAAGTGCTGGGATTACAGGCATGAGCCACCATGCCTGGCCCTAACCCATTTCTTAAAACTATTGGAGTGCCACATCTTCCAAATAGTTTGTAAGGAAAATTGATTAAAGGAAGATGAAAATTTACTAGTTGGATTTCAACAAAATGCTGTGCATAGTATTTATAATTGAAAGAGGATATCAAGTTTTAGTATAGTTGTGGATCTACATGTCACTGTGAAACATCTTTTTTAGTATGACAGTCTCCAAACAAAGCATCCACAAAAGCTGAAATTAGAACAGACGTGGGCTGGGTGCAATGGCTAATAAAAATACAAAAATTATCCGGGCGTGGTGGCAGGTGCCTGTAGTCTTAGCTACTTGGGAGGCTGAGGCATGACAATTGCTTGAACCCAGGAGGTGGAGGTTGCAGTGAGCTGAAATTGCACCACCGCACTCCAACCTGGATGACAGAGCAAGACTCTATCTCAAGAAAAAATAAAAAAACAGACCTTTAAATTTCTATATCACAAATTATTTTAAAATATTCTTAGAATAAAGAAATACATTCGATCACATTGTACTCATTAAATATCACTGGTCACAAAAATATTTTTCTATAGCTAATAGATAAAATAAGATAAAAATAATTTGAAATGTTTTTAAAATAATAATTTATTAGCTACAATAAAATTTAATTTTTTTAAATTCTGTGTCCAAATCTTTTTATTTTTTTAATTTATTTTATTTATTTATTTATTTATTTTTTGGAGATGGAGTTTTGCTCTTGTTGCCCAGGCTGGAGTGCAATGGTGCAATCTCGGCTCACCTCAACATCTGTCTCCTGGGTTCAAGTGATTCTCCTGCCTCAGCCTCTGGAGTAGCTGGGATTACAGGCATGCGCCACCACGCCTGGCTAATTTTTGTGTGTGTGTATTTTTAGTAGAGACAGGCTTTCTCCATGTTGGTCAGGCTGGTCTCAAACTCCCAACCTCAGGTGATCTGCCTGCCTTGGCCTCCCAAAGTGCTGGGATTACAGGTATGAGTCACCGTGCCTGGCCTTATTTTATTTATTTATTTATTTATTTATTTATTTATTTATTTATTTATTTATTTTTGAGACAGATTCTGGCTCTGTTGCCCAGGCTGGAGTGCAGTGGCTGATCTCGGCTCACTGCAACCTCCGCCTCCGGGTTCAAGCAATTCCCCTGCCTCCCATGTAGCTGGGACTACAGGTGCCCGCCACCACGCCCAGCTAATTTTTGTATTTTTAGTGGAAACAGGATTTCACCATGTTGGCCAGGATGGTCTTGATCTCT